>NC_000011.10:39605454-39756969 GCF_000001405.40 Homo sapiens
AGAGGAGACAAACAAATGGAAGAACATTCCATGCTCATGGGTAGGAAGAATCAATATCGTGAAAATGGCCATACTGCCCAAGGTAATTTATAGATTCAATGCCATCCCCATCAAGCTACCAATGACTTTCTTCACAGAATTGGAAAAAACTACTTTAAAGTTCATATGGAACCAAAAAAGAGCCCACATCGCCAAGTCAATCCTAAGCCAAAAGAACAAAGCTGGAGGCATCACACTACCTGACTTCAAACTATACTACAAGGCTACAGTAACCAAAACAGCATGGTACTGGTACAAAACAGAGATATAGATCAATGGAACAGAACAGAGCCCTCGGAAATAACGCCGCATATCTACAACTATCTGATCTTTGACAAACCTGAGAAAAACAAGTAATGGGGAAAGGATTCCCTATTTAATAAATGGTGCTGAGAAAACTGGCTAGCCATATGTAGAAAGCTGAAACTGGATCCCTTCCTTACACCTTGTACAAAAATTAATTCAAGATGGATTAAAGACTTAAACGTTAGACCTAAAACCATAAAAACTCCAGAAGAAAACCTAGGCATTAGCATTCAGGACATAGGCATGGGCAAGGACTTTATGTCTAAAACACCAAAAGCAATGGCAATAGAAGCCAAAATTGACAAATGGGATCTAATTAAACTAAAGAGCTTCTGCACAGCAAAAGAAACTACCATCAGAGTGAGCAGGCAACCTACAAAATGGGAGAAAATTTTCGCAACCTACTCATCTGACAAAGGGCTAATACCCAGAATCTACAATGAACTCAAACAAATGTACAAGAAAAAAACAAACAACCCCATCAAAAAGTGGGCAGAGGATATGAACAGACACTTCTCAAAAGAAGACATTTATGCAGCCAAAAGACACATGAAAAAATGGTCATCATCACTGGCCATCAGAGAAATGCAAATCAAAACCACAATGAGATACCATCTCACACCAATTAGAATGGCAATCATTAAAAAGTCAGGCAACAACAGGTGCTGGAGAGGATGTGGAGAAATAGGAACAATTTTACACTGTTGGTGGGACTGTAAACTAGTTCAACCATTGTGGAAGTCAGTGTGGCGATTCCTCAGGGATCTAGAACTGGAAATACCATTTGACCCAGCCATCCCATTACTGGCTATATACCCAAAGGACTATAAATCATGCTGCTATAAAGACACACGCACAGGTATGTTTACTGCGGCACTATTCACAATAGCAAAGACTTGGAACCAAGTCAAATGTCCAACAATGATAGACTGGATTAAGAAAATGTGGCACATATACACCATGGAATACTATGCAGCCATAAAAAATGATGAGTTCATGTCCTTTGTAGGGACATGGATGAAATTGGAAATCATCATTCTCAGTAAACTATCGCAAGGACAAAAAACCAAACACCGCATGTTCTCACTCATAGGTGGGAATTGAACAATGAGAACACATGGACACAGGAAGGGGAACATCACACTCTGGGGACTGTTGTCGGGTGGGGGGAGGGGGGAGGGATAGCATTAGGAGATATAACTAATGCTAAGTGACGAGTTAGTGGGTGCAGCACACCAGCATGTCACATGTATACATATGTAACTAACCTGCACATTGTGCACATGTACCCTAAAACTTAAAGTATAATAATAATTAAAAAAAAAGAAAAGAAAATATTTTAATGGATTTTGAAGTTTTATATTTTCTTCCTGGTTTTCCACTATATATGTTGTCAAATTAGTGTCTACTTTTGGAAATATTCATGTTATAGAAACTCTCAATTTAGAATTAAGGATTTAGATGTCACTTTGATTTTTGTTTCAAGGACATGGTTGAAGATTTGGTACTGAAGGAATTCAGAGTGTACGAATAATTTCTCATTTAATATTCAGAACAAATATGCCAAATGCTTCACATTTTTAATCAAAAAATTGAGTCTATTAAACATTAAGAATAGCACTATAGAATACAGGAGACCTAAAGTCCAGACTAAGTATTGACTGCATTATAGAACTGCAGATTCCTTGGAATGGGGTTGGGGAATGTGAAAAGCATAGAAGAGCTGTCTTTCTTCTTCAAAGATGAACTTATTATCAATACAAAATTAATTAATATGTCTAAGTGATAAATATCAATCACCTATTATATCTCAAGCATGATTCTGAGTGCCACATATAAGACTGTGAAATAGACTAATTTTTTTGTTCATAGAGATTACATTTTGATTTTGTCACAGAAAAATAAATAATGTATTTATTATTATTTATTAATAAATTACTATATAAAATGGCAGATAGTGGTTAGTGCTATAAAACAAAGAAAAACAACTAGGGGTATGGGGGACAAGTAAAAAGGAAAAGGAAATAAAGGAGAAATTTATTCTACTGTTCAATAATTCATTCTCTGTAAGTTATCTGTTTTCTATGTTCTCTTTTTTGAAATCTAATTAGCAGACATTTTTCTTCTGAAGTAACCACCACCTATCTTGGAATTTGGTTATATTTCCAAAGCTGTGTCACTTCACTTTATGTCTCGGGAAGTTTCTCAACTTTTTCACCCAACTATTTTTTCATGACTGTTTGATCATCATGTTTTAATTATCAAGAACATCTTTTAAATTTGTGATTATTCCTTTTTCATCACAGGTGATTCTTGTTTTATGTCTGTCACCTCGATTTCTCCTGAGAACATTGTTTCTTTAAATTGCTTTCTAAGTTATTATTATTTCCTCAAGTATCAATTGTTTCCTTTGATTTTATCCTAATATTGTTGTTCTCATTTCCAAAATAATCTTGGCTGTTTATTCATATTTATGGACAAAATATTAAGTTAATTTATACAGTTAACTATTTATATAGGTAGAAAAAAATGGCTTCCGGAAGATATCCATGAGTTAATCCAAAGAGCATTGAATACGTTAAAGCAAAGAGAAAGTAAAATAAAATATAGAATTAAGGTTGGTAATCAACTGAGTTTGAAACAGGGAGATTATCCTTGATTATCTACAGGGTAAAGGTTGGGTGGGTGGGGGTTAGGGGTAGAAATTTTCCTCTAGAGCATCCAGAAAGACTGCAGCCATGCTGATACTGCTGACATAAAATCTTGATTTTAGCCCATTGAGACCTATTTTGGACTTCTGACTTCCATAATTGTATGATGACAATAAATTCGTGTTCTAAGTTACTAAGTTTGTGGTAAGATGCTGCAGACGTAATAGAAATCTAACACAGCTCTCCACTGGGTGTTCTCTATGGATTTTTTTCTACTGATCTATAGATCTTTTGCTAAAGAGTATTAATTTGTAACTTTAAAGTTAAACTTACAAGTCAAAGTTTTAAAATTAAAGCTGTTTTAAATTAAGGATGGGCAAGACTGAGTTTAACTTTAGGCATATATTAATAAAGTGGGAATGACTTTATTCTCAGAAACTAAAATTTATATTATAAACTGTTAGCCTGGTTCAGGTATGTCATTCAATTTGTATACTGCTGATTTTAAACTGATGCAAAATGCTGATTTTGCAATGATAATGGTGAAAATAGGGCAGTTAAAGGTCAGCTCAAACAAATATTTGTGGATACTGGCTGGCTAGCAGTATTCTTTAAGCTTTGATACATTCCATGTGCTTTTGTTTTCAGAAGACACCAAAATCCCTTATATTCTGATGTTCCATCTTCCAATTCATATCTTTAAGGTCGTATTCCTGCTTGTACATTTTTGCTATCATTAATGGGATTTAGAATTGAGAAACAACATAAAATCATATGCCAAGTCATCCAAATTGAAGTGGAAACCACATTTACTTCTGGTATTATTTTGTTTCTCTAGAAATTACCACCTCTAGAATGAAAACTAATAGTTGGTTGCAAGAGTTCAAGAGTTGCCAGGTCCTTTTTGACTAGATAGTATCCAAAGGTCAGAAAACAAAATGAATTACCTGTTCCAGGCTCTTCGAACGAGAGAAAGTACTTTTGTTAGAGAATGTTAGCATCAGAGAAACCCTTGTGTCAAAATAACTGACCGTAAACTGCACATCTGAGGAAGTTGATTCTTTGTTTCTCTTGCCATCAAAAGCTTTTGAATGGCAATCATTAAAAAGTCAGGAAACAACAGGTGCTGGAGAGGATGTGGAGAAATAGGAACAATTTTACACTGTTGGTGGGACTGTAAACTAGTTCAACCATTGTGGAAGTCAGTGTGGCGATTCCTCAGGGATCTAGAACTAGAAATACCATTTGACCCAGCCATCCCATTACTGGCTATATACCCAAAGGACTATAAATCATGCTGCTATAAAGACACACGCACAGGTATGTTTACTGTGGCACTATTCACAATAGCAAAGACTTGGAACCAAGTCAAATGTCCAACAATGATAGACTGGATTAAGAAAATGTGGCACATATACACCATGGAATACTATGCAGCCATAAAAAAAGATGAGTTCATGTCCTTTGTAGGGACATGGATGAAATTGGAAATCATCATTCTCAGTAAATTACCACAAGAACAAAAAACCAAACACCACATGTTCTCACTCATAGGTGGGAATTGAACAATGAGAACACATGGACACAGGAAGGGGAACATCACACTCTGGGGACTGTTGTGGGGTAGGGGGAGGGGGGAGGGATAGCATTGGGAGATATACCTAATGCTAGATGACGAGTTAGTGGGTGCAGCGCACCAGCATGTCACATGTATACATATGTAACTAACCTGCACATTGTGCACATGTACCCTAAAACTTAAAGTATAATAATAAAAAAAAAAGCTCTTGAGTGACACAATCACAATCTGTCCTCTAAGTGTGCAATTGCCTATGTAGCATGGAGTTGCTCTGCTGGCTCAACGTTCTTTTTCCAGTTTATTTCATTATTCCTTTGGCTTTTACAACTTCTAGCTTTCAGCTACGTATCTGCATCTCACACTTGCCATCCAGCTTCATGATGATAGGTCTAGGCTTCCCCGCTATTATTCTGTGTTTGATGATAATACTTAACCCTTCGTGAAGAAAAGCAGTGATCCTCTTAAAACATTACCAGCTGGCTGACTTTATCACGCTACTAATAACCGATCAATAGGTTACAGGCAAATGTTAATACAGGCATCCCTATAAAATATCAATAAAACCTTATTCTCAACATGTCTCATGATAGCTGAGTCTAACCCCTACACTTGTGAACCATGTATTTTACTTCTAAATGATGGAATGTTAGACTTTTTCTATTGAAAGTAGGACTATCGTAACAGAATTGGTCCAGATTTTACATACAGGCATACACACAAAACCCATTATTTAGATTTGGCTGACCATTGCACTAAGGCTATTCAGGTAAAAACCTCTTGGATTTGTTATGCTTTCATCCTTTTTTTTTATGGACTCTGAGTAATTTCCCAGAGAAGATTTTCTGTCAAGGCAAAAGTTGTTTGTTTTTTTTTTTTTTTTATCTCCCAAAAGGCAACAATGTCAAATTCTAGAATGAATCCATTCATGTGGCTTGGGATCTCTGAAACCAAACATACCTGTAAATGCTTCTCATATAACTCAATGGTACTTGTCAAAAAATATTTATTTTACCTAATCAAATGAGTACTAATAATTGTGAAGAGCTAAGACTTACCTTCAAAATAAACCAGCACCTTTGACCAACTCAAACATTTACAGAGCCAAATTCTTGACTTTCAACCATGTGAAACCTGACAGATTAAGTCTGTCTACCTTTCAGAGACCATTCTGAAATGTCAGAACAATACTTCAGAGATATAATTTACATGGTGGGAATGAAGACAGTTAATAAAATAAAAGATATGCTAATTCCTACACAAAATGGTATTGCTAGTTTCAAGTCAAACCACCTTAAATGTAAAAATGTATGTGCATCTTTTCTGCAAAGCCTTTGAAGAATGAAAGATTATTTGTTAATGACTCCAACATATGGTGAAGGTACAAACAATATGCTAGAACCTGACTTTTTGAACAGAAAAGAGCGAAAGATCATTGCATATGTAATAACTAATTTTAAAGAAATACTAATTGAGTAAGGATCTAACGAAGGTTATTTGATTGGTAGCAATGAGGAAGGATAGCCCTACTGTTCAGATTTAAAGCCTAGTTACAGACTCCTGTTTTATATCTACAGCACCCCCCGACCAAAACAAAACAAAACAAAACCTCTTATAAGTAAGGTCAATGTTATGTGCATAGGTATTTCCAATAAGTTCCTTATTCTAAGCTGAGAGTATGGATGCAAGTTACGGTTAATGAGAATTGCTGCAATACAGTAGGGAACTACAACCTACTTACCTTTTAATGTATTAAGCTGTACTGACTTGGACTAAGTAGTGCAAAGAAGTTTAAGATATAAAACACGAAAATGTGTGTGTTATGTATATGAAAGGGAGAGAGAAAAGAGAAGAGAGGAAGAGAGAAAGTGGGAGGGAGCAAAAGAAAAAATAAATTGGGTGAAAGAAGATGGGGAAAAAAATGCTACAGACCAAAAGAACCTCCAAATGTTTTCAAGGACTGAAAGAAGATTGCCAAGAAATGCCATTTCTTAAGGAGATAAATCAGTTTCCAGTTTTTCAAACTTGCTTCCTAAAACATTTCTATCAAAAAAAAAAAAAAAACAGTTTTAAAAAAGAAATGCCGGAAGCTTACAACAAATAAGATTACTGCCATGAAGACAAGCCAATTTCTATTAACCATAGAAGGAAGGGAAAATAACAGTTTTCTGCAATAGAAAGCCAACTCCACAAGAAGATAAAGTGTAGCAGTTGCAGCACCCATGCATGCAAAGTACTGACCAGTAATGTCTGAGTAACTGTGTGACATCTGTGTCGCTATAACATCTGAATGAACACGTTATGGAGAGTCAATGCATTTTTAAACGAGTAGACTGTGCCAAAAATAATTTGAAGCAACTCTCTCTTCAATTGTGGAGTATTTTTGTTTCGACTAAGAGTATTTTTTTCTTATAAAACTGATTCTCTGAAGAAAAATCTGGGTGGTGGTGTCATCTTGACATGAATACACTTAGCATCAAAGGGTTTTCTGGAAATATGGTAAACGTCAGAAAATTCTAAGGATTATTTTTTACCTTCAGTAACAATTAGGCAATAATAATTAGGCTTCTTTTATAGGCATTTTTGGTTGTGATTGAAGGTGACAAGAACCATTACTAGGATAGTTTGATTACCACATCACTTTAACAACTCTTATCCTCCATTTGTACTTGTCTAAGAAAATAAATTATTTCTTTGCCAATGAAGAGTTGTTCTTACCCATGATATTACCTTTGTCTCCGGGGTAGTCTGTAACTTTCAGAGCATAAAAGCTTCGTCAAAGTTTCTCAAATTGTATCCTTTTTTCTTGCTTTCAAGAGCAGGGAATTCTTACTTACTTCTAATTTGAAGTGAAGCTCTGTGTTACCTAACAGTATTTGACACAGTAGACATTTTGATTCCTCTAGAGTTAGAAATCTGTCTTTTTTTTCCTTCCCTGCCAGATACAGATACTAGAAATAGATGCCTTATTTTTTGAAATCAAGAAATATACTAAAGGATGGATACAGGAATGGATGTGCGAAGAGATTGGGAGCTTGTGATATTGGAATACAAGTGGAGTATCCCTTACTCTAAATGCATGGAATGAGAAGTGTTTAAGATTAAGAATTTTTTTTTTTGGATTTTGGAGTATTTGCATATATATAATGAGATATCTTGGGAATGAGATGCAGATCTAAACATAAAATTTATTTGTGTCATATACATATTATACCCATAACCTAAATATAATTTTTATAATATTTTTAATAATTTTGTATTTGAGACAAAGTTTGCATACATTGAAGCCATCAGAAAGCAAAGGTGTCACTCTCTCAGCCACCCATGTGGACAATCTGTGGTTGTTTGGAATCATCATTATTCCTAACTGAATTTATATGCTGCTGATTAAACAACCATTTTCTTAAATTCATTTACATTTAAGCACCTAACAGTAAAAAATATGACATACCATTAATACAGTGAAAAGTAACCTGTTCAGGATAACTCAGCAGCACAGCAGCATCACGAGAATACCTGTATCAGCTGTTAAACAATAAAGGCAGGCTCACAGTTTCTAACTACAATGCTGTGTTTTGACTAAAAGGTTACTGTACACTGTATTTTATTTTTTTTCTTTTTTAGATGATACAAAAATCAGAAACATTTGAGATGCCAGAAAGTGGGCCCTTTAGTGATAAGGAGGCATTCTGCTCGATGGGTTTCTTAAATGTTTTCTCCACAGTCATCTACCTCATTAACAATGTTTTTTGTCTTAGTCTCTCTTTGTTTTCACAAGCTGACTTTTTTTTTATATTCTGTTAATGAACACTGCTCTAATCCTTCAATAAGCCCATTATACATTTTCACCATGTCATCTATAGGTATCTTTTCTGCAGTATTGAAAGCATCATCTTTGTCATCACTATTATCACAATCACCTTGGTTCCAAACCATTTGGGTTATTTCACCATCAGTCAATGAATGAACAACTGGGGCCTTATTATGTATGTTAAAAACTACTTTGATATCTACTTCTTCCAGCTTATTCATGCACACTGAAGGTATACTTTTTCCATATGCAAGGAAGTCAGACATTATTTTCTCACTTGACATAGAGAATTTTTCAAAGTCATCACTTTGTCCATCATTATCATTGAACAGTCACAGGCCAGAGATTGTGTCAGACACACACAGCCATGTCTTTAGTTACTGTGTTCCAAGCAGTGGCAATAGCATGTATGGCATCCTTTATGCTGAACTGTTTTTGAAAATCTTCCACACCTACATTTCAGTTCACTGTTGCTAGCATGTTCAAGAAAGTGTTTATATACTTATTCTTCATTGATGTAAGGATACTCTGATCACATGACTGAGGGCATCATCACATTTGGGATAAAATACATGGCATAAATATTATTTTTGATGAGAATTTCAACTGGAGGATGAGCAGAACAGTTGTTAAGGAATAGTAAAATCTTTCAGTCATCATCCAGTCCAGCTTCCGTGCAGTAAGAATGAGCTGCTGGCACAAAATGTTTGTAAAACCAATCAGAAAAGATGTCCTTGGTGATCCATGCAATTTGACTAGCATCATAATGGACTGGTAAGAAAGCCACTCCTTGAAAACAGAAAGAATGCAAGCTTTTGCCTATCACAGCAAGTTCCACTTACATGTGCTCCCTGCATTAGCATATCTCAGCTTAGTTATTCTGCACTTGGCATCCTTACTTTCTGCAGGGGCTGTTTTATCAACTATAGTCAGTGTATTTTTGGAGCAAAATTACCAAAATAATGTGTCATCAGCATTCTAAACTTGTTCTGGCATCAGCTTTTTATCAGCAATAGCCTTGGCAAACTCATCAATAAATTTATTCACTGCTTTGCGATCAGCAGATGTTATATCACCACAATTTTTTTTTTTTTTTTTTTTTTTTGAGATGGAGTCTTGCTCTGTCACCCAGGCTGGAGTGCAGTGGCACAATCTCGGCTCTGCAGGAGCAGAGCGGCTCTCGCAAGCTCTGCCTCCCGGGTTCACACCATTCTCCTGCTTCAGCCTCCTGAGTAGCTGGGACTACAGGCATGCACCACCACGCCCGGCTAATTTTTTGTATTTTTAGTAGAGACGGGGTTTCACCATGTTAGCCAGGATGGTTTCAATATCCTGACCTCATGATCCGCCCACCTCAGCCTCCCAAAGTGCTGGGATTACAGGCGTGAGCCACCGCGCCCAGCCTATCACCACAAATTTTTTAAAAATGTAATATCCTGCCTTTTCTTAAATTTCTGCAAAGAGCTTACATATTCACAATTCCCATCAGTTTTCAGTTCATCATGATAGAATTTTGTTTAATGACGTGCATACCACTGAGTGGTATGTGTTCACTGCCATGCTGACAGATCCACTCTTTCAATACACAATTGAGATCTTCATTTTTAGCTTTATGCAGTGTTTTTCTATTTTTCATTAACTTCTTTCTGTTCATCATTTTCAGCATAAAATATCATTAGTTTATCTTTTAATTTTTTCAGGACATTTATGGTGGTCATTTCAACACGATACTCTTCTGTAATATATTTTACATTTATATTGTTATTTTCTCCAACAGCTTGAATTTCTGTGCTGTAGATAAGCATAAATGCATTATCTTCTTCTTAACATTGTTACTCTTAAGGTTATCTGCAGACCTTTTTCACATTTTCAACAATAACTTTACAAAGCAAAGAATATGCAAAATATACAGTGAGTAATGCATGTAGGTCTTGACTCCATGTAGGGAATCATGGGTACCCTGCCACTGGCACATCTAGCCTGCACACTTGCCATTTTATTACCCTTCGTGGACATGCTTGAGTGGGAAAATCTGGATGATAGTTGTGCCATGCATATACAACTATATAACTTTTGCAGTATTATTACATCTTAATCCTGGATCCCTGACACAAGGGCCTCTGAAGTCCTTGGAATCTTTAGAGGGACAGTAGAGTATTTTTGGGTGCTAATAAGGTGACTGATGGATTGGGTCTCCCAGAAATCCTCAGAAAGGAGGCTGTCACCAGAAAGGCCAAGACATGATTAGAGGGTTGGAACTTGGGTCAGCTCTACTCACCTGGCCTCTGAGGAGAGCTGGAAATAATCACCAATGGCTGATACTTTCATCAGTCATGCCTATATAATGAATCCTCCTTGGAAAACCCTAAATGATAGGGGTTAGAGAACTTTTGCACTGATAAATGCATCTATGTGCCAGGAAGGTGGCATTTCCATAGAGGGCATGAAGAAAGCTCTGCTCAACACCTATACCTTATCCTAGTATCTCTTCCATTTGCTTGCTTTTGAGTTGTCTTTTTTTTTTCTGGTTCATTAACAAGAAACAGTAAAGTGACTTCTTGAGTTCTGTGAGCTGCTCTAGAAAGTTAGCACACCTGAGAAGGGAGTTATAGGAACCCCTCATTTATAGCCAGTTGGTCAGAAATGTGGGAGGAGGAGGACTTGCAATTGGCATCTGAAGTGGGAGTAGACTTATGGGACTAAGCCCTTTTGCTTGGGTAATACAATGCTAACTCCAGATAGTTAGTGTCAGGATTGAATTGAATTACAGGAAAAGCAGTTAATGTCTGCAGAGTTGGAGAATCAGTTGGCATTAGAAAAAAATAGAAATCATACTTCATAATATGATTAATCCATTGCAAAACTCCTTTAATTCATATATTCATTTTGAAGCTTCCTCCCAGGCATGTACAAATCCTCACTATTTTTCTCTCTTCTTTAAGAATGACTACAATTGACTCATCTTTCAGAGTTGCACTCCCATCAAGTTTTTTTTTTACTTATTCTTATACGGATGTGTCATTTATTCATTTAATTCATGTTTTTCATTAAACATTTATGTATCAAGCTCAGATATGAAAGTTAAGAAGACAAAGAGGAATGTGACCCAGATCTTGCCGCAGAGAAAACACAACTAAATAGATATCTTAATAAAAATTAAACATGGTAAATAGTTTGGTAACAAAGATTTCCTATTTGGCAGTCTGTTTTCCTTCTGAGTTGATATATGAGCCCCAACACACAGCTCCAATTATCAATGAAGTAACCCAATATAAAAATATGTTGTTATCTCAGACAATATAAAGAATAAAAATAAAAATATAGACGACTTCTTGCCACAATTTGATTACCACTAGCCTTAAACATTTATTTTTGAGTAAGGGATGGTCTATAATTATCATCCCTTTAAAACCATACTCAAGTTCATAGTAGTACTACTTACAATAGTCAAAAAGTAGAAACAATGTAGGTGTTCACCAATGGATGAATGGATGAACAAATTTGGGTATGAATGAAGTACTGATTCATGCTACAACATGGATGAATCTTGAAAACATTATTTTAATTAAAATAAGCCAGACACATATTGTAGGATTTCATTTGTATGAAGTATCCAGAATAGCATCTTATTCTGTTTGGGCTGCTTTAAGAAAACAACATAAACTGGATTGCTTATAAAAAAATAGAAATTTATTTTCCACAGTTCTGGAGAATGGGAAGTCCATGATCAAGGCACTGGCAGATTCAGAGTCTGATGAGGACATGTTTCTTGATTCACAGACAGTGACTTTTTGCTGTCCTCACATAATGACAAGAAGAAGGTAGCCCTCTGGGGTCTCTTTCATTAGGGCATTTAATGGCTATCCTGAAGGTTTTACCTTCATGACCTAATCACCTCCCCAAGGCTGCTCTTCTTAATACCATCACTTTGTGGGTTAGGATTTCAACATGTGACCTATGCAGTTACACAAATATTCAGACAATAGCAAATAGGTAAACCCATAGAGTCAGAAAGCAGATTGATATTGCCAAGAGTGAGGAAATGTGAAGCAACTGCTTAATAGGTATGGGATATTATTTTGCAGTGATGAAAAGTTTCTGGAATTAGGTAGAGGTGGTGGTTGCACAAAATTGTGAATATATAAAATGCCACTGAGTTGCACACTTGAAATGGTTGATTTTGTTTTATGTAAATCTAACATCAATTTTTAAAAGAAAAAAATAATAAAAGACAAAGGAAACACCCAAGTAGGCTATTTCTTTTTTAAAGGGCCTGATACTCAAAAGATCACCTGAAACAGCAATCCGTGCCAAGACTTTCAGTTCTCCTTTTCTTTAAGTGAAAGATTTGCAACTGTGAAATCCTTTAACGAGAAGATTGATCATATCTTTGGTGACCCTCATTTCTTAGACTATACTGTCTGTTAACTACATTTTATCTATTATTGTCTAGGAAACAATTTATTCCTTTTAAATGACACAATAATTATATTTTAAATGACAGATGATAATTATTTTGTATTGATTAATTCATTCATCAGATTTTTAAAAATATATTAATAAATGTCCTAAGATTTAAACATAAAGTAGTTAATGAAAGAGAATCCTGCTTTCCCAGTGTTAATATCATATTGGAGAAATAAGAAAATAAGCAATAAGCAAATAAATCTCTTATTTTCAGAAAATTATCTATGCTATGAGAAAATTAAAAATGGATAATGGAAGAGAAGGTGTGTCAGATAATATTAAATAGGATGAACAGCCAGGACTCTCTGGGGAGATAATATGTGAGCAACTATATTAGTCCATTTTCATGCGCTGATAAAGACATACCCGAGTCTGGAAAGAAAAAGAGGTTTAATGGAATTATAGTTCCACATGGCTGGGGAGGCCTCACAATCATGGTGAAAGGCAATGACGAGCAAGTTACGTCTTACATGGATGGCAGCAGGCAAAGAGAGCTTGTTCAGGGAAACTCCTGTTTTTAAAACCATCAGATCTTGTAAGACTCATTCACTAACATGAAAACAGTGCAGGAAAGACCCACCCCCATAATTCAATCATCTCCCACTGGGTTCCTCCCATGACATGTGGGAATTGTGGGAGTTACAATTCAAGATGAGATTTGGGTGAGGATACAGCCAAACCATATTAGCAACTATGGGAATGACTGGAAAAAGATATGTATAACCCAGTGGATGAGCAGTTCAGACAAGTAGGAAAGACAATGTAAGTATTCTGAGAGGAATGAACTTGGTAAGTTCTAGGAATAGAAAGGAGTCCAGGATGACTAGAAGTAAGTGAAAGGAAAACATGGTAGAAGAGATGGAGGAAGAATAAACAGAAGCCAGGTTTACAGACCACGTATAAAGGGGTACTTTTACTGAAGTGTTAATCTTTACATGAAAACTGGATGCAGGGCTGTGAATTAATTACTAAGTCTTATGATTATTGTGTGTCCTGTAGGGCTAGAGAAAGAAATTCAATGAGACAAGAAATAATGTATTTTAAATACCTGCTATGTGCAAAAGCATTGTTAGACTTATCATTGGCCTTCAATAAATACTTTAGAGGAGAAGCAAACTAAACTGATATAAATATCAAGGATTTTCTTCTTCCTTTATACAACTTTCTTTTATTGGACCCTACCTTTTTGGAGTGGAGATCTCATACATTCTATTTAATTTTTCATCGTGAGATTCCATGCTGCAGTTCAGTTAAACGTCGCAGGAACAACCATTTGATTGCTGTTGCTTTATTCAGACGTATTTCAGAGAATGAAAGTCAGTTCATTTAAGAGAGGAGCTGTTAAGTTTTGCACTGACTAAAAGGACTATTTTTGCTGAGTGGGTGCTCTTATCAGAAAGCTCAAGTCCTCTGTTTTCAGCCAGCACAAGGAGATGGTTATTAGATTTAGGGCCATTCTTATCAATTCTCTATTGCACATTTTACTCTCAAGCCACTTCACAAAAAAATCCCTATTTCAAATGCACAGTTAGTAAACACCAAAATACTCAGTACAAATGATCTATGTTGGATACAGGAAGGATAGCCTTTAAAGACAAATTAGCATTCTGGAAAAACACTGACTACGTCTCTGATTGGAGACCACTGGATCATTTCTTTAAAACTGGGGAAGATCACATATTTATTTTTAAAAACAGAACATCACAGTGTGTTTTCAAAATGGATTTTAAAGTGGCTGTGTGGGTGACTATCTTGACAGTTATGTTACTGATAAGAAATTGTCAGTTTGAGGTTTTATTTCAATATAGGCAGATTCTTAATTTCTTTGCATTTGTGATTTAGGGAATCATATACCATCTGCAGAATTTAATTGTGTTCTTTTTTTTCACATGAAATGCGCTGCATAACCCTTTGTTTATCGTGAAATAATTCAAACAGGAGGCAAGTTCATAGATTGAAGAGTTAAAGCCTATTTTATCTTCCACACAAGTCCCCTGCCAATCCTATTATCCTCTCCAATGGTAGCTATTACTTACAGTTAATGTTTCTTTCTAGACCTTTTTATATACATTCATATAAACATTGAAATGCACACTTGTGCACACACACACACACAAAAACAGCAGACACCCACACATGCACACCCACACACATACACGTCATTTTATGTTAATTTTTTTTTTGCATTTTTATTTTTATTTATTTTTTATTTTTTTATTTTGTTTTAATTTTATTATTATTATACTTTAAGTTTTAGGGTACATGTGCACAAGGTGCAGGTTTGTTACATATGTATACATGTGCCATGTTGGTGTGCTGCACCCATTAACTCGTCATTTAGCATTAGGTATATCTCCTAATGCTATCCCTCCCCCCTCCCCCCACCCCACAACAGGCCCCGGTGTGTGATGTTCCCCTTCCTGTGTCCATGTGTTCTCATTGTTCAATTCCCACCTATGAGTGAGAACATACGGTGTTTGGTTTTTCGTCCTTGCGATAGTTTGCTGAGAATGATGGTTTCCAGCTTCATCCATGTCCCTACAAAGGACATGAACTCATCCTTTTTCATGGCTGCATAGTATTCCATGGTGTATATGTGCCACATTTTCTTAATCCAGTCTATCATTGTTGCACATTTGGCTTGGTTCCAAGTCTTTGCTATTGTGAATAGTGCCACAATAAACATACCTGTGCGTGTGTCTTTATAGCAGCATGATTTATAATCCTTTGGGTATATAGCCAGTAATGGGATGGCTGGGTCAAATGGTATTTCTAGTTCTAGATCCCTGAGGAATCGCCACACTGACTTCCACAATGGTTGAACTAGTTTACAGTCCCACCAACAGCGTAAAATGTTCCTATTTCTCCACATCCTCTCCAGCACCTGTTGTTTCCTGACTTTTTAATGATCACCATTCTAACTGGTGTGAGATGGTATCTCATTGTGGTTTTGATTTGCATGTCTCTGATGGCCAGTGATGATGTTAATTATTTTTAAATAAAAATTGGAAAGGTTGTCTGCTTTACTTAAAGCATATTGTACAGATCTGTCTATGAAAATCATTATAAAACTATCTCATTCTTTTGAATTTCTGCTTGAAATTTCAGGTGTGATTATCCCATAATTTAATTTGGTAAAAAATTCATCTTCTATTGATAGACAGAAAAAATGTTTTAAATTTTTTCTTCTGAAAAAAAATCTTACATCATGCCTTTACATAATTTTTCTTCCTAAATAAAATTTAAAACATTGAAGCCTCACCATAATCACACCACAAATATCATTATAAATATCCAAGTCAATGGAAGCAAAATAATTTTATGACTCACACAAATTTTAAATAACAAATCTGAAAAACTATGTCATTCATTATTATTACATGTTTCAGTGTGAATTCTGTTTTGAAAATTCTGCATTTAGATTTTTTTCATAAATATGCTTATAAATACATTTTACTTACGTTTCATGGATATAACTTGTACTTAAAACAGTGTGTACGTATCATTTATGTGAGAATTATTTTGTGTCTGTTACTATAACATAATTTTAAATAGAAATATACATTACATTTTATAACTTTTATTAGTTATTTAAAATAGAGAAAATATTAAAAAATAAAAATGGTCTAAAATGGAACTTCCCAGGTTTTTTGGTTATTTTTCTAAATTCCATATAAAGAATACATTCAGACTACTAAAAAAAATACATTCAGAAAAATCTAAGAAGATGAAAGACAAATGCAGTCTCCCCTCTTCCCCATCCCCAACTTCTGTGTCTACAACAGTCACCAATAAATGAAAGTTTTTGTTTATTTTTCAAGAGAAAACATATAATGGTATGTAAAATTCATTCATTCACACACATAAATTGTGTAAACATATGTGTGTATTTATGTACATAGTGTCCTTTTATTGATGCAACAAATTTCTTATAGAAAATTTTAAATTCTGCAGTGTATTATCTTTG
The DNA here is from genome assembly GCF_000001405.40 of Homo sapiens. NCBI lineage: Eukaryota > Metazoa > Chordata > Mammalia > Primates > Hominidae > Homo > Homo sapiens. The sequence goes on from NC_000011.10 coordinate 39,622,272, forward strand.
AGCTTCTTCCAATAAGAGCAAGTATAGATGTACCTCACATTTTGTTTTCAAATATTTCCATTTATCTAACTATAATAAATTGCACAGAGTTTAGTTGTAAGAGTTTAGTTTAGTTGTAAGAGAACAACTAATTTTTACATACATATCTATCCATGTAACTGCACATCAGATTTTCCATATCACACAAGATTGCTATCTAATTCTTACACATTCAAATATTTCCTCAAAAATTAGTCACACATTTGACTTCCATGCAGGTAGATTGGTTTTGCCTTTATTGAACTCAATATACATAGTCGTGTAATATGTATCTTTTCATGTCTAGCATCTTTTTCTCAATATTTTGTCTCTAAGATTCATACATAACTTACATGTCCCAGAAATTTGTTCTTTTAAAATTTTATGTATTATTATTCTGTTGTATAAACATACTACAATTTATTTACACATTTAGTACTAATAAACATTAGGATTTGTCTTAGGTTATTCAAGCTGCTATATCAAAATACCTTAGACTTGGACATTTATTAACAACAGAAATTAATTGCTTACAGCTCTGGAAAGCTGTCTGGGAAGTCCAAGATCAAGGTCCTAGCAGATTTAGTTTCTGGCAAGGGCTCTGCTTCAAAGATGGTGTCTTGATTTTGTGTGCTCACATGGTAGAAGGGCAGAATGCTGTATCCTCACATGATGGAAGTGGGCAAGGGTTTTCCCTTCAACATCTTTTATAAAAGCACTAATTCCATTCATGAAGGGAAAGCCCTCATGACTTAATCATTTCACAAAAGGCCCTGCCTCTTAATACCCCCACAATAGGGATTAGGTTTCAACATAAATTTTGAAGGGACACATTCAGATCATAACAAGGTTAAGTCCATTAATCAACTATTATAAATTAAACACATTTTAGCTTATTTGTTTAGGTCTTTCAATGAATATGAACTCTAGTATTTGCTGCATATATTTCCAAGTGGAATTTCTGATTCATGGGATATATATATGCTTAGCTTGAGGAGATATGGGCAGTTTTCCAAAGTGGTTATAAAAATTTACATTCACTGCAGCAGTGTATAGTGTTTTGTTACCAGTTTATAAATGTTTTGCTTATGCTGATCTCATAAAGATATTTTTCTCTGCTTTCTTGTATAATTTTATTGCTTTATATTTTCTATTTAGGTCTATGATGCTTCTACAATTAATACTTACAAAGTTGTAAGGTAGGTACCAAGGTTTTCTTTTTTTGTATGGATATCCAATTTGAACTGGCATCATGTAATCTTTCTTTACTGAATTTCAGAAGTATATTTATTATAAACCAGGTGACCATATATATGTGAGTCTGTTTCTGGGTTCTATTCCAATTAGTCTTTTTGTCTTTTACAGCATCATATCCGTACTATCTTAATTAAAATATCCTTGTAGTAATTATTGACACATGGTAGTGTAAGATGTCCAATTTGGTTTCCTTCTTCAAAACTGTCTTGGCTATTCTATTAAATTTGTTTTTATGTAAAGTTTAGAATTACATTAACAATATTCAAAACTTGCTGAAATTTTTATTATTACATTGAAACTAGAGATCAATGCATGGATAGTTTGCATAGTAAAAATTTGAAGCTTTTATTTATGAACATGGTATAGCTCACTATTTCTCTTTAAATTTTTTCCTCAATATTCCATAGTTTTTAACATAGAGATCTTGTACATCCTTTGATAGATCAATTCCTAGGTATCTGTTTCTTCTGATGCTACAGTAAATAATTTTGTTTTACTGTTAATACATTTGTTTTAATTATATCTTCTATTTATATTTTATTTTCTAATTAAAATTATCCAGTTTATTCATTTGTGGATTTTTTTAAAGAACTTTTCATTTCATTCATTTTGTCTATTTTCTGTTGATTTACTATCCGATATTTACTACTTATTTATTTCTAAGTGTATTGGATTTGATTGGCTCTTCTGTTTTGTTGCTTCCTATGGTAAAAGTTCAAATTATTAATTTTAGGTCTGTCTTTCTAATTTTGTGTTTAAAGCTATAAATGTTCTACTAATCATTACGTTTGCATCCCATGAATTTAGAGATGTTGTGTTGTTTTTAATCAGTTGAAAATAATTTCCACATTTTTGTAATTTTTTTCTCTAACTCATGAGTTATTAAACAATGTGTTGTTCATGCTCTGCATCCTTGAGAATTTCCGTATTTCTTTCTCTTTTTATAATTTAACTTCATTGATTTTAAAGAACATTTTATTTTGATCCATTTAAATTTATAACCATTTGTTTTATGACTAACATATTATTTATCCTATCCTATGTATTCTTGAAAAAAACATACATTTTGCTGTTGTGGATGGAATATTCTAGTTATGTTAGTTAGGACTCTTTGATTGGTAGCATTGTACAAGTCTTCTACATCCTTACTGAGTGTCTAGTTTTATAATTACTAAGAAAGGGGTATTTAAATCTTTATCTATAATTACTGATTTATTTATTCTTTTAATTCCATTAAATTATTAAATTATTCTGGAAATATAACACTTACTGCAAAAAAATCTTCACAGCATAAGTCAGAAAAATATTTACTCTAAAACTAGCTGCTTTTCATAGGACTATAGAGTGGGGTTTCTGTTTCTTCCTCTTTCATTACTCCACCACAGGGAATGTGAGATGGGGAGGGAAAGAGCAGATGGCTGGGAAGATAAAGAAGGGGCAAAGGAGGGAAGAGACACAGAAAAAGGGGAGGTGGCAAATTTGAAGTAGAATGTTGATTGATGGAAAATATGTAGAATGCACAAGAATTGTTTTATGTTCCCAATATACTGATCTCTTTACTATTATAAACTACCTGTTTCTAGTAACATTTCTTGCATTAAAACCTAATTTTTTAATATTAATACAGCTACTTCTAGTTTCTTCTAGTTACGATTTGTATGGTATATCTTTTTCATTATTTTAGTTTCAATCTATTTCCATCTTTAAATCTGAAGTATTTCTCTTGTAGAGAAGATCTTGCAAAATGTTGTTTTTATTTATATATTTTTTATATTTACTCTGATAATCTTGAGTGAAATATTTAGTCTATTTGCAATGTAATTATTTGTATGTTTAGATTTTTCCCAATTTAATATTAAAATGATTTATAAAACACTCAAATCTTTTGAAAACTGCAAACTACTTTGAACAAAGATAGAATAGTCATCTACAATATATGATGGCAAATTATAGCACATAAGCCAAACCCTGCTTATCTCTTGTTTTGTAAATAAAGTTTTATGGGAACACAGCATTCATATTTGTTTACATATCATCTATGGCTGCTTATGTGTTACAAGAGCAAAGTTGAGAAATTGCTAGAAGGCCATATGGTACTGTTTTATAAAATCAAACTGAAGAATTCTCTCAGAATAGTCACATAAAATGTAAATAGACATATAGATGAATGCACATAAAAGGGATAAAACAGCAGGTAGAATCAAGAAATTAAGACATAGTTTTATAAAATTCTGAAAAGAGATAAGTCCTGTAACTGGGAAAAGGAGATATGTAACCAGTGACCAAAATTTTCACAGATAATCCGAAAGTTAGTCCCAAGATTGAAAAAATAAAAGGCTAATGCTGGACTGAGCAGTAAGAGATAAAAGCAAATTTTTAAAAAACAACTTCTAGGAATATTTTTGATACATAATAAAGAGACTATTATTATTTACTGAATAGTAGAATGCTTAAAACATATTGTCTACTTTACTCACTGAATAAAGGTTTTTATTACCGTTCACCTATTTTTTATTTTGTCTTTCAATATGTATTCTGAGTGATGCTTTTCTGTTGTAATTTACTTTTAGATTTTACTATTCTGAGGGATGCTTTTCTGTTATAATTTACTTTTAAGTTTAAGCATTTATTTCCAAAGCACTGATATTCAAGGGAGACATTCTGGAGCAATGATTCTATGTCTTTGCTTAAAATTCTTTCATCAACAATTTTGGCTTAATAGAAAAATATGTGAACTGGAACAGAAAGAAAAAAATATAAGGAACAAGGAAAGAAATTGAGGGTTAATAGTGGTCAGCAAATTAAAGCTTGTCATGTGATGAGTACATAAAGTGCAATCAGCAAAGCTGAACTAAAGGAATGTAATTTTAGGTATGTTATCAACATATCAATAAGTAGATGATGGGTATAAAAACATTGTACTGTGTAATCAAAAAAGCAAAGCACTCTGTTTTAACTCCACTTTCCTTTCAAGACTTTAGGATATAAGAAACCTTCCCAGAGAGGAAAGAAATGGTTGCTCCCACCTCAACCTTTTCAAAGGTTCATTTATATTGATAAATGATATGCTAGTATACATTTCATGCTACAAACCAGATATATAAATACAATTATTTTCCCCTATAATAAAATATTCTTTCCGTTTTAAGCCCCAATTCCAGCAGGGTTTGGCAATTTAAGCGCGGCCAATTCAGGAACTTAATGATTTGAGAATTTCCCTTCCTCTTACCCTGCATTTTTGTCTGGAGCCACTTGGACCATTTGATTGCTAAGGCATTGGGTAGAGAAGTAGTTATATGGTCATTAGTCATTGCCTTTTACTCAAGCTGAAGTATACTGAGATAAGCATTTTCTCTTTAATCAATATTTGGTTTATCTACATAAATAATTGAGATATTTAAATTTCACTTGGAATTTAATCTTTGGTCTGCTTCTACACACTTAACCACAGGCCTCTTAGCCCTCATACTCTTTCAGATGCTGTGGTGTTTTTCTTGAGCATTCAGGTTAGCACAGTACTCTTGCACTGCCCTGAAGTTCTAGGAACACTAAGTGTGTCACAGACCCATTGCTTAGATATCTAACTCAGACATTTATCTTCTCCTGCTCCTAAACCGTGCTGTGCATGTACGTACTCTTATGAGTGTGAGACTGGCCATTTGCTTGGGTTCTCTCAGGTTGTCTCTTACAGCTTCCAAACCTATTTAGAGTTTCTGCCATCTCTTTCTCTCTCTCTCACCCCACCTCAGCTGGAAAGCAGGGCACATGGTCCATTTTCTCTGACTCTTTTTAGCCTTAGGTTTTATCTAAAATGAGTCAGCTAGCTACTTTTTGATATCTGTTATTATGGGCTTAAGTATAACGTTCTGAATCCTGCAGGATTTAGGAATATGAAACCCAATCATTCAAATTCTTGCATTACAAGTTACTTTTTCTCCCTTAAAACTATTGCCATATCCATTAGTTTTAAAAGTCAACTTAAAAACCCAAAAGCTACTGGTGATAGTTCCAAGAAAATACACATTTGTCAAAACTAATTGAGCTACGCACTTAAAAGAGAACATGATATTGTATGTAAATTATACTTCAATAAAGTCAATTTTAAACATACAATTAAATCTCAAAATTCAATCAACAACTTTCTTTGGTATTTTCTTTCAGGCAATTAGCAGAAAATATCCTACATACTACCTCATCTGCGGAATGTAGTAACCAAGACAAGAGGATGCAGAAAGGGAGAATAACGTAAAATAATATTCCATGCAATAATATTAGTAACAGTAATAATAGTGGTGATGAAAACTAACACTTAAAAGTTCCTACTATGTGCCAGGAAACTCAGAATAGTTTTTATCAGTTAATTTATACTATAATTTTTTAAATTTTATTTTATTTTTAAATTTTTTATTTCCATAGGCTTTAGAGGAAGAGGTGGTATTTGGTAACATGAATAAGTTCTTTAATGGTGATTTGTGAGATATTGGTGTACCCATCACCTGAGCAATATACACTGAACCTAATTTGTAGTCTTTAACCCCTCACCCCCCTCACCCTTTTTTGCAATTGCAAAAATATGGAACCAGCCCAAATGCCCATCAATCAAGTTGATAAAGAAATTGTGGTATTTATATACAATGGAATATACTCAGTCATTAAAAGGAAAAAAAGTCCACCATAATTTTATAAAATGGGTTTGTGGTTAGATTCATTTCACAACCAAGAGTGCTGAGATTTGGAAGATTAAGGAAAAAAGGTAAGATCATACAGCTTCTCTACGGCAGAGGAGTGATTTAAAAGCAGAGAACCTGACTTCAAAATCCTCCCTTAATTACTACCCTACACAAACTTTCAAAGCTAATTGTTCTGGTCAAAGTTACAATTGTAATGCAACTGAAAATTATAATGGTAAGGTGATGATGATGGTGATGATGATAATGATGCTGATGATGATGACTGTGGTAGTGGTGATGGCATGACGTAGATATGCTGATATTGGCAATTTTTAACACTTATGCCAGGCATTCCTAGTGCTAATGTGAATTTACCCATTTATTGCCAACAAAAGACTTCTGACAATGTTTCTGTTACTATCTCCATGTTACAAATGAGAAAAATGTGGACTAAATTATCATATATAAATAACATATCTTAAATTATACAGCTAAAAAGTATTACAAGTTAGACAGAAATACAGGTTTGATTAGACCTCAGAGCTTACTCCTTTATTTCCTTTAATAGCTTGATTTTCTCTTTTAAAAATAACCATATTATTTTTATTGTAACCATGTTTTGAATCCCATAATGAGTAATTTAACAATATTACATTATTGTTCTTCATTTTGGATTCTTAACTAAACAATAAATGTCACCGCTTTTTCAAGAAAAGTACAGGTTGTCATCTTGTACAAAGCTGGGGGCTGATAAAATGGAAAAATAGAACTAACCCCTTTCTGAACTTTGGTTTATATCAATATATTCAAATGTATGTGCACATCTAGCTATCCAACTGTCTATCACATATGTATCTCTTTCTATTGATAGATTTGTTCAGCTTACATATTATTGATGTTTTTATTTTAAGATTCCTTATGAAGAAAGAATGAGAGGCAGGTAAAAATATGCAATAACTTTTACAGCTGGCTTTGTTCCTACTTATTACCAGTAAAAAAAAGTTAAGTATTATAACTACTCCCTTAATCCACGAATGCACATAAACTCACAGGAAATTATTTACTAGTTTCCTATGGCTTTTTAGTACTTAGTATGAAAATGCATTGCTTCACAAATTCAAGAGGCCCAGGGAAACAGGGAAATGATAAACTTATGAAATAACTCCTGGGAGTAAGGAATTAGGAATCCTTTAAAAGTAGAACAAGGCAAAAAAAGGAAAGCTGAAGAAATACAAGATGAGCTTTGATGATCTCCAGTGAGGCATGAAGGTAGAGGCCATGGTAAAGCTCCATTTAAAAGTTGTATTTTCAGACTTATTTCCTTCAATACTGCTTAACACTGTAATTTTATTAACCACTGGACTGAGACAAAGATGACTTCAGCAGTTAGCTCAGTGTAAACTGAACATGTTTTAGCAACTCCCATGAAAAGTCACTGCATTCTAAATGACATGCTGTTACATACTACATCAGAGAGAAAAATAGTTTTGCTCTAGGGGGAAATTCATGCTCACATAAGGATATTTAGTATTTACATAGTATTGGAAATATTACAGCCTCAAAGGTAAACACTCTTTTATCCCTGTACTACTTTTGTAACAATGTGTAACCCTAAACATGTTTAAACCATTGAATTTTGCCTCAAAATGTGAAAATCTACAGGGATAAATTGTGTTTCCAGCTACTACAAATAGTATAAAAGCGCATCAAATATATAAAGAACAAACTTGCATGTCTAAGTTAATCTTACTGATTTTTAAATTAGTTTCGCATATGAAAGCTAATGATTTCAAGAACCTAAATGAAGCAGTGATTTGGAAAGGTTAATTTATTGAAACATTAGTTGAATCAACTGGAAAATAGAGTTGAACATTTTATTTCAAGATCTAGAAATTTGACAACTCCCGAAAATCCCTGTATTAAATTATACTAGTGTTTTTGAAATTGAAGACAACATCTAGAGTAAATTGGAATTATGGGCTTATCCAAGCTGATATGCCTTTCTACTGCATCAGGCCATAGCATTATGTAATGAAGCTATCAAGACACAGTAACTATTACAGTAACAGAGAGAAGTGGCTCAGAAAGTCTGAGACATAGTAACCATGCGGCAAGTTTCTGTTTCCATTGACTAAGTCAACTTTTGAATGCCCAGTAGGTACATAGAGCTACTGGGATATGTGAATTTAAGGTGAAACTGCATCATGTTCAGCATTCGAGCCATTCAATTACACAATGCATCTATTTTGCCATTGTTCAGGTATACATCAGTGATCAAATATCATTCCTATATATACAGACAGAGAGAGAGAGAGAGAGAGAGGACATGACTTCACCTAAGTTACACAACATTAAACATATAAGACCCTAGAGGCCATGGAAACAAACAGCATTTTATTGCTCTCTCCTGCAAACCTTTTCGTTATGTATACCTCTCTTTGTATCCAGACTGGGGAAAAAAAAATGAAAATCAACCACCATGATCCCAGGTCTGAGGAATCCTCACATCTCTTTTAAGTCTTTGTAAATCTCCAAGGACTATTGGTACTTATCCAATAACAATAATGCTTCATAAGTACTCAAGGGGAAAATAGAAATATGTATGCCCATCAAATTATTGTCTTAAATTGAAGGGGTATTTTCCTCTCTGTGTAATCACCTTCAGTAGTCTAATGAGGAAAATAGAACAAATGGCATGCGGTTGCCACAGCAACATTTTTTATTCTCTTACCTAGTGTAAGACAGTATTTTTTTTTCTGTTTCCATTTTCTTTGCTTTGTTTTAATAGAATAAAAACATCTCTAATAAATGTAATTTTACTACTCCCAGTTTCTGGTTTTTGCTTCCCTATAATGAATAAATCTGAAAAGGGATACATATCCCAATAATGAAGTACATATGCTCACACATAATTATGTGGTGGCATTATTTTCAAGACATAATGCTACTGACAAATACAGTGGTTTCCTGCTTCATGAGGTAATTAATAGTGTTGTTTATTGTTCTATACATTTTCTCTTTTGTCATACATAATTTATTAAGTAAATTAGACATTAAAATTTGTGTGGGTTTAACAGATACCAAATAATAAGGTATTATCAAGGATTTAATGATACAGAAATAGATCTGGGAAAGAAATAGTACGCTGATGCAAATAGTTGCCATGGCGATAACTTGAAATCACTGTGTGATTTTTAAAATATATATATTTTATGAAAATGTAAATTTTACTAACATTAAAAAATACTAGACTCTACCAGATTTATCAAAAAAAAAAAAAAAACAAAACAAAAAACAAAAGCCCTTAGCTTTTATTTTCCAAGTTATAATATGTTTCTACTTAATATCAACAATTTGAATATTGAATTATCTCACCAGAAGAAATGTTTATTCACAAAAAGAAAAACCATATCAAGTGGTAGAAGAATTCATGCACTGATTGGAGGCTTAGACTAAATGAGTTTTACGTCATTACAAAAGACAAAGCTCTATGATTTCAATATGTATGTAGACATGTATTTATTGGAGTATAAGCAGGAAAACTAGCATGGTCAAAATCTTAATCATTATAAATACATACAGAAATTATAAAACATAAGTAAAAGCTCAATAAGAGTGTCAAAAATATAGTAGGCAGTAAAGATCTGTTATATGAGCAAATTAATACTCTATGCTATTTACCCTATCTTCACCTCAATAATAAATATTGACTCTCTGCAATATGTAAATTAGCTTGAAATAATAGAAGATATATTATCTATTCCTAATTAATTAATTATACCTGTAGGATTACAAATCCTAATTTTAGACAGCAAGCATTTCCTATAAATAATAGTAACAGACAATTGATGATCAAGCATTACTTTCCAAAATGCAAGTCAATACTTTCTAAATCAAATGGAGACTTACCTGTTGGAAAGGTCTTCTAAGAACACTACCATACACAGAAAATTTTTCAATAGCTACATCAACTGGGTTAAATTAAAATGAGACTATGGATGTGCTCTTGTATATGGGTGCTTAGAAGACCCTTAGCAATTGAAATTATAAACAGAAAGGAAAAGACACCACCTCTGTACTTTTTCACACTTATTCATAAGCTCATCTATTCCCTGTTTTCACCAGTAGAGCAGCACTCAAGTAATTTTCAATTACTAACAATTGGGTAAAATACACAAACACACATGCACAAATATATATGTACATACATCCATACATATAATCTTACCTAATAATGTTATTTTATTAATATCCATTTAACCCTTTAGAGTTTACCAATGACATTGTTAGTGATTAATTCATTTGATCTATACAACAATTCTGAAAAAAATCATAGTTTGATTTTATAAGTTGAGACTAAGAAGGAAAATAATTAAGTGCATGACCCAGGGTCATACAATTAATGGGTATAAATCCAGGATTTTTTTTTTTTTTACTTTTTATTAGAGAGCCCATACTCTTGCAGATCCAGCACTTGTCTTTTACGTCACTTGAGTGTCTCATATTGTATTTTATGTATAATGTTGATGCCCATTTTGTAGATAAGGAACATGAATATGGCATGGAGGGAGAATGTGACTCATAAAATATTCAGTTACTCTGCAACGGCCTTGAGATAAAAACCTAAATTGTGCAGATTCCAAAGCCTTTACCACTATAATATGACATTTCATCATTTACAAAAAAAAATGAATAAATGTATGTGTGAAAGTGTGTGTGTGTGTGTGTGTGTGTGTGCGCATATATGTGTGCTGGGGAGAAGCTAAAGATGTAAATATGTTAACTTATGTAATTTTCACAATAATACTGAGAAGTATTTCAATTATCTCTAATTGATAAATGTAAAAACTTAGTTGCAGAGATAATCATTCTGCTCATAAGCTACAGAGGCAAGAACGATGTGGTAGAATCTCAATGTGGTAGAAACACTGATTTCTGACCAGATCTGGAACAGTAATCTATAAGAATTACCAAAGTTTCCCAACCCTAAATAAGTATGGTAGAGCAAACGTGGAAACAAGCAGGCATTTATAAAGTTCACATCTTGATATTAATTGGTTTTCAAGAATCTATATTGCTGTAGTCTACAGATATTTGACATAAGAAAAATATAAACCAAACAAGGACAATTTGACTTCCTCTTTTCCTAATTGAATACCCTTTATTTCCTTCTCCTGCCTGATTGCCCTGGCCAGAACTTCCAACACTATGTTGAATAGGAGTGGTGAGAGAGGGCATTCCTGTCTCGTGCCAGTTTTCAAAGGGAATTCTTCCAGTTTTTGCCCATTCAGTATGATATTGGCTGTGGGTTTGTCATAAATAGCTCTCATTATTTTGAGATACGTCCCAGCAATACATATTTTATTGAGTTTTTAGCATGAAGGGCTGTTGAATTTTGTCAAAGGCCTTTTCTGAATCTATTGAGATAATCATATGGTTTTTGTCATTGGTTCTGTTTATATGCTGGATTACGTTTATTGATTTGCGTATGTAGAACCAGCCTTGCATCCCAGGGATGAAGCCGACTTGATCTTGGTGGATAAGCTTTTTGATATGCTGCTGGATTTGGCTTGCCAGTATTTTATTGAGGATTTTTGCATTGATGTTCATCAGGGATATTGGTCTAAAATTCTCTTTTTTGGTTGTGTCTCTGCCAGGCTTTGGTATCAGGATGATGCTGGCCTCATAAAATGAGTTACAAAGGATTCCCTCTTTTTCTATTGATTGGAATAGTTTCAGAAGGAATGGTACCAGCTCCTCCTTGTACCTCTGGTAGAACTCAGCTGTGAATCCATCTGGTCCTGGACTTTTTTTGGTTGGTAGGCTATTAATTATTGCCTCAATTTCAGAGCCTGTTATTGGTCTATGCAGGGATTCAACTTCTTCCTGGTTTAGTCTTGGGAGGGTGTATGCGTCGAGGAATTTATCCATTTCTTCTAGATTTTCTAGTTTATTTGCGTAGAGTTGTTTACCGTATTCTCTAACGGTAGTTTGTATTTCTATGGGATCAGTGGTGATATCCCCTTTACCATTTTTTATTGCATCTATTTGATTCTTCTCTCTTTTCTTCTTTATTAGTCTTGCTAGCAGTCTATCAATTTTGTTGACCCTTTCAAAAAACCAGCTCCTGGATTCACTGATTTTTTGAAGGGTTTTTTGTGTCTCTAACTCCTTCAGTTCTGCTCTGATCTTAGTTATTTTTTGCCTTCTGCTAGCTTTTGAATGTGTTTGCTCTTGCTTCTCTACTTCTTTTAATTGTGATGTTAGGGTGTCAATTTTAGATCTTTCCTGCTTTCTCTTGTGGACACTTAGTGCCATAAATTTCCCTCTACAAACTGCTTTAAATGTGTGCCAGAGATTCTTGTATGTTTTGTCTTTGTTCTCATTGGTTTCAAAGAACATCTTTATTTCTGCCTTCATTTCATTATGTACCCAGTAGTCATTCAGGAGCAGAACGTTCAGTTTCCATGTAGTTGAGTGGTTTTCAGCGAGTTTCTTAACATTATTGTATATTTAGAAAACCCCATCATCACAGCCCAAAATCTCCTTAAGCTGATAAGCAATTTCAACAAAGTTTCAGGATACAAAATCAATGTGCAAGAATCACAAGCATTCTTATACACCAATGAGAGACAAACAGACAGCCAAATCATGAGTGAAATCTCATTCACAATTGCTTCAAAGAGAATAAAATACCTAGGAATCCAACTTACAAGGGATGTGAAGGACCTCTTCAAAGAGAACTACAAACCACTGCTCAATGAAATAAAAGAGGACATAAACAAATGGAAGAACATTCCATGCTCATGGATAGGAAGAATCAATATTGTGAAAATGGCCATAATGCCCAAGGTAATTTATAGATTCAATGCCATCCTCATCAAGCTACCAATGACTTTCTTCACAGAGTTGGAAAAAACTACTTTAAAGTTCATATGGAAACAAAAAAGAGCCTGCATTGCCAAGACAATCCTATGCCAAAAGAACAAAGCTGGAGGCATCACACTACCTGACTTCACACTATACTACAAGGCTACAGTAACCAAAACAGCATGGTACTGGTACCAAAACAGAGATATAGATCAATGGAACAGAACAGAACCCTTAGAAATAATACCACACATCCGCAACCATCTGATCTTTGACAAACCTGACAAAAACAAGAAATAGGGAAAGGATTCCCTATTTATTAAGTGGTGCTGGGAAAACTGGCTAGCCATATGTAGAAAGCTGAAACTGGATCCCTTCCTTACACCTTATACAAAAATTAATTCAAGATGGATTAAAGACTTCAATGTTAGACCTAAAACCATAAAAACCCTAGAAGAAAACCTAGGCAATACCATTCAGGACATAGGCATGGGCAAGGACTTCGTGTCTAAAACACCAAAAGCAATGGCTACAAAAGCCAAAATTGACAAATGGGATCTAATTAAACTGAAGAGCTTCTGCACAGCAAAAGAAACTACCATCAGAGTGAACAGGCAACCTACAGAATGGGAGAAAATTTTTGCAATCTACTCATCTGACAAAGGGCTAATATCCAAAATCTACAAAGAACTCAAACAAATTTACAAGAAAAAAAACAACCCCATCAAAAAGGAGGCGAAGGATATGAACAGGCACTTCTCAAGAGAAGACATTTATGCAGCCAACAGACACATGAAAAAATGCTCACCATCACTGGCCGTCAGAGAAATGCAAATCAAAACCACAATGAGATACCATCTCATACCAGTTAGAATGGCGATCATTAAAAAGTCAGGAAACAACAGGTGCTGGAGAGGGTGTGGAGAAATAGGAACACTTTTACACTGTTGGTGGGACTGTAAACTAGTTCAACCATTGTGGAAGACAGTGTGGCGATTCCTCAAGGATCTAGAACTGGAAATACCATTTGACCCAGCCACCCCATTACTGAATATATACTCAAAGGAGTATAAATCATGCTGCTATAAAGACACATGCACATGTATGTTTATTGTGGAACTATTCACAATAGCAAAGACTTGGAACCAAGCCAAATGTGCAACAATGATAGACTGGATTAAGAAAGTGTGGCGCATATACAGCATGGAATACTATGCAGCCATAAAAAAGGATGAGTTTATGTCCTTTGTAGGGACATGGATGAAGCTGGAAACCATCATTCTCAGCAAACTATCACAAGGACAAAAAACTAAACACCGTATGTTCTCACTCATAGGTGGGAATTGAACAGTAAGAACACTTGGACACAGGAGGGGGAACATCACACACACTGGGGCCTGTCATGGGGTGGGGAGGGATAGCATTAGGAGATATACCTAATGTAAATGACGAGTTAATGGGTGCAGCACACCAACATGGCACATGTATACATATGTAACAATCCTACACGTTGTGCAAATGTACCCTAGAACTTAAAGTATAATAAAAAATAAATAAATAATATTTCTTGATTTTTCTTTTCTTAATATGACTAGGAAACAGTTAAGACTGAATTGTACTGTATTCCTGTATATTCATTTTTTATTTACACAAAAATATTTATTTTATGTCCAAGATACTAGTGATACATAAGTGAATGAAACAGATAAAAACTTTCCCTCCTAAGTTCTATATTTTAAACTGAAATAGAAAATAAACAAGTAAATAAGTAAAAATATATAGTAAGTTGTATGGCTGTAAATTAATAGAGTTCACTAAGACAGAAAAGGTATAAAGTGTGATCCAGAAAGGAGAAAGATTTGCTGCAAATTTAAATTTAAAATCAGGTGACCATAGAAGATTACCTGAAAGAGTTGGAAGAGTAAGTACTGAAGGCACCTGAGGGGTAATTTTGCCAAGTAGAAAGATTTGCAACTGCAGAAGCCCTGAGAAAGAAGTAGAAGTAACACAGAGTATTTTGAAATAAACTAAACAATATGCGTGTGGTCAGAGAATGAGTCGGAGGGATAATTATGTTGGTGGCAGATTTTGTACAACCTCCTAGGTCATCTACTCAAGTTTACTCTGAGTCAGATGCAAAAACAATGGAGTGTTTTGAGTAGAAGAAGGTCATCTGGCAGATATTAGAGGATGCACTGCGGCTGCTCCAGGAAATCGAAAGATAATCCATATGAGAGACGATAGAGATTCAAACCATGATTGTTGTGGTGAAGGCTATGAAAGGGTGTGGAATCAAATATATTTTAAAGATCGAACTTAAAATATTTGCTGATTCATAAAATATGGGATATGTGAGGAAAAGATGAGTCAGGAACAATTAAGTCCCAGATATGTTGTCTGAACAATTGTAAGAATGAGACAGAAAAAAAGATAGGAGAAGCAGATTTTAGCGGAAATTGAAGAGAGATCAAACATGTTAAATGTGAGATGCACATTATATATCAAAGTGGACAGTTAAGTATGCAGATGGATATATGAACTGGAGTTCAAGGAACAGGTCAGTGCTTGGGATATAAATGTGGGTTTGTAAGTGTATTGATGGCATATAAAAGTATTAGACTAGACAAAATTGCCAAAGAAATTAATTTTGATGTTTTAAAAAAGAGAAAAAGTTTAAGGATTGAGTCTTATAGAGATTTTGGAGATGATGATAAACTAAAAAAAAAAAAAATAGTGACAAGGAGAGACCATTAAAGAGAAAACATGGGGAATGCATTGTGTTAGAAGTGTAGTGAATAAAGTATTTCATGGAGGGAGGGATCAACTAAGTAGAATGTTGCTGACAGGCCAAGTAGGAAGAAGCATGAGAACTGACTATTTAGCCTCATGGACATCACTGGAGACCTTTGAAAATAGCAGTTTGATTTGAAAGTGGAGGTTAAAGCCCAACTGGAGAGGCTTCACAAAAGAATGAGAATAGAGAAATTTGAGACAGTGCAAATAGGCAAGACTTTTATACTTGCTCTTAGCCAAAAGGCAATGGCAATGCTTTTGTGTTTTACTCTAAAATACAGGTGATAAATGGGGTTGATGTGATGATGGTAAATAAATTCAAGGGGTTATGCAGATATGAGAGAATTACTGCTGAACATATTTGCATGACCATCAGAAATATTGCATAATGATGATGAAAAACGGAGAGAGAGAGAGAGAGAGAGAAGAATCAATGGAGTGATATTCTTAAGAAGGAAATTGGTGTTGGAATATCACAGAGGCATGTTTCTCAATAGAAGCAAAAAAGATAAGCAATAAAGGAGTAGCAAAGGGAAGATGGATTTTATAGGCTCAGATGGAATAGGTGAATAGACATGGTGTTGGAAGCTTGATAATTTATTTCCAGAGTAGTAGCCAAGAAGATACTTTCTAGAGCTAGGTTGCCTGAGTCTGAATCCCAGATTTGTCATTAGCTAACTCTATGATGTTGTGCATTTGTCTCCCCCCTTACATAAAATGAATAAAGTAATTGCACTTATATTATAAGGTCATTGTAAGAATTATTAGAATAAAATAAAGCACTTAACAGAATCTGGCCTAGAGTAGACACTGAGCATAAGTTAAGAAGAAAGGAAATGAGCCGAGAAGATAAAGGAAGAAGTAGTGTGACAGATGATAAGATTTGAAAATAGTTTTTTTTATTTTTGAGACAGAGTCTCACTCTGTCGTCCCGGCTGGAGGGTAGTGACACGATCTCCGCTCACTGCAAAGTCCGCCTCCCGGGTTCACTCCATTCTCCTATCTCAGCCTCCCGAGTAGCTGGGACTACAGGCGCCCGTCATCATGCCCGGCTTATTTTTTTTGTATTTTTAGGAGAGACGGGGTTTCCCCCTGTTAGCCAGGATGGTCTCGATCTCCTGATCTCGTGATCCACCCGCCTTGGCCTCCCAAAGTGCTGGGATTACAGGCGTAAGCCACCGCGCCCGGCCTAAAAATAGTTTCAAACTGTTATGAATTATCTCTTGAGGTATAGAAACATGAAGCTACACAAGTAAGAATTGTGGAATATTAATATCTAAATAGGGTATGAACCTCAGAAGTATATCTCATGGAAGATAATAGATTTATGTGAGGTTCAGAGGAGTACCTAAAATTTTCAAGAAGGCAGAACCTCCAGCTAAGAAACCTGTCCTTAAAATTACTATGAAAGCAGGCCGGGTGCGGTGGCTCACGCCCGTAATCCCAGCACTTTGGGAGGCCAAGGCGGGTGGATCACGAGGTCAGGAGATCCAGACCATCCTGACTAACACGGTGAAACCCCGTCTCTACTAAAAAAAAATAATAATAATAATACAAAAAATTAGCCAGGCGTGGTGGCAGGCGCCTGTAATCCCAGCTACTCGGGAGGCTGAGGCAGGAGAATGGTGTGAACCCAGGAGGTGGAGGTTGCAGTGAGCCGAGATCTTGCCACTGCACTCCAGCCTGGGCGACAGAGCTAGACTCTGTCTCAAAAAAAAAAAAAAAAAAACAAAAAAACAAAAAAACAAAAAAACAAAAAAAACTATCATAGCGAAAGAAAATATTAGCAAAGAAAGGAATTTTGCCAACAGAGACCGAGAAAAGATCTGTTCTTCCTGAAATGCCCTCTTCTGTCCCTGTGTCAAATATCCACATGCCAGTGGCCCCTATGATAAAATTACATCAAATTTCCGGAGAAGCCAAGCTTTTCCACATTTTTACACTTTTTTTTTTTTTCCCACAGTGTCCTTTCTACTGTATTAATCCATCTGGTAAACATGTATTCACTGTTCAAGGCTTAGTCTAAATACACTCTAAACAAACTTTTTTGTGTGTGAAGTACCTCCATTATGCCCAATAATTCTGTGTGTATATCTATTAATGATACATAGAATATTTTACTGCATTATGTATTTACATGTCTGTCTCCCTCTACGAGACTATAAGCTCTTGAGAGATCATCAGCCATCTTAGTTGTCCCCCAGCCCAGCAAGTACAGTTAACATAGTACATGTGTAATAGGTATATTTTAACTAGAAGAATTGATACATGGCATTCTGAATTTATTATTAGATAAATAAAATTTGCAAACCTCATACACTCTGTATTATTCCCTGTAGTCATCTGTATTATTGTAAATACAGATTAACCCATCAAATTGCTATAATATTGGACATCTTTGCAGTATGACAGAAGTAAATTCTCAGTTATGGCATATTTTAAGAAAAGACAGAAATGCTGAGAAAGACCTGTACATGATTTAATCAGTAGATACTAGATAAATTTGAACTAACCACTGATGTTTGAAGTTCAAATTTTCCTCATCTTCCCATTTATGATTTTTGAAACCATTCTACATTCTAATAATCTCTACCTCCTCCAAACTTTGGTTGTATTACTCACTTGACTACGAATCATCATGTACTGCCTTGTGATCTTTCTTATACTGTTACATTAAATAAATTGAATTTTTTATTTCACACTTTGCATGGTTATTTTGTATTTTCTCAACCCAGTTATAATATCATCTAGAAGTTTGATTTACAAAACCTGTCAAGCATATATTTATTGAATGTCTATGCTGTGCCAGGAACCCTTCTTGATATTAAGGGGAGAAGCAATTCAAACAACAATAAAAAAAAAATAAGAATAACCCTTTCCCCAAGGAGTAAATCAAACAGAGGAGATTAATGCAATAAGTCATTTATAGAGGTATATATAAAATGCTAAGGAAATCCAAGGGGATCCAGAGAAACCTCATAAAATAGGTGGCAACTGATTTTTAACTTGACGGGCTGAATAAAAGTTTTCAGTTAAAGAATGGAAATAGGAGGCCAGGCAAGGTGGCTCACGCCTGTAATCCCAGCACTTTGGGAGGCCGAGGCGGGCAGATCACGAGGTCAAGAGATCGAGACCATCCTGGCTAACATGGTGAAACCCCATCTCTACTAAAAATACAAAAAATTAGCCGGGCGTGGTGGCAGGCACCTGTAGTCCCAGCTACTTGGGAGGCTGAGGCAGGAGAATGGCATCAACCCGGGAGGCCGAGCTTGCAGTGAGCCGAGATCGCGCCATTGCACTCCAACCTGGGCCACAGAGCGAGATTCTGTCTCACCAAAAAATATATATATATATGGAAATAGGAGTGTCGTTGGCTAAGAAAACAGAATATGCAATATAAGTGGATATTTGAACAACTACAAACATTTCAATGTGGATATTTGAACAACTAAGAACATTTCAATGTGTCTATAGCAATATAACAGTAAACTAATTCAGTTTTAAATCTCAATTTAAATTATATTCTATTTATCAGTTACTGCCACAGTCCCCTGCCATTACACATACAAAATAAAAATTGTAGAGCCTTAAAGACAGTTGACCCAGTTGAAGAGAAATACTTGACCTGTAAGATCCTGAAAGACTTATCTCTTCATTAGCTGAGATCATGTCAAATTAGCATATTTAAAAACTGATCTTAGAGGGTTTAGCTGGTTGAGATTTTCCCATGGCTTGAGAAGAAAAACTACTTCTTAGCTGAAGTAAAGAAGAAAGAGTACATGCTATGAGGGATAAAAACTGAAAAATCACCCCCTTTTTATTTTCATCCCAATTAAGAGGAACAGATAAAGAGTGGAAAGGCAAAGATATCAAAACTTAACTACGGATTTCTGCTCTCTGAGCATCTGTTTGGAGGGTATGGAGCAGTTTTTGATAAGCATACTTGCTAGTTAAATATGGTCAGGCAGTAAGTAGTGATGAAAGGTTAAGGACAAGGATTTGGGAACAGTGGTTAGCTTCTGTGGCTTAAGAGCAGACTGTCAGACCAGCCAGCTGGATGCAGAACTTTGCCAGCAGCTGCGGGCCTGGAGCCACTCAAGAGCCTGGAGTTATATGAAGCTAGGAAAAGTCAGCTAGGAGGGGCCATCAGGCCAAAAAAGTTTACATGACCATTTAACTCAGCCACAAATGCAGAGAGAACAAGTAATACAGGCGGACCGGAAGTCAAGCTGAAAGATCACAGGAGTAAGAAAAAGGCACTCATGCCAAGCATCCTGCTATTGAGAGAAAATATAAACTCTTCCTTCCATTCATGGAGATTCCCTCTAACTAGGAAGGGGAATGGTGGCTTTGAGTGAGACTGATTATTTGTATCACTAAGATTGAAGTCACCATAAATGAAGTATTTGAATGATTAAGTGCCACAAAGCTTTAGACAGAGTTGTCTATATAGTTGGATTCTGTAATTATAGGTGTTGATTTTCCTGTTGGCCAATGATTAAACTTGGGGCACAGATCCATTTTATTGTTTATGTGCATGTATATATATGAAATTGACTATTCTGTCCTTCTGAGCTATAGTGGAAATAAATGTATCATTCTGCTACAGTTAGAATCTGTATTGTATGAAATCTGTGGGCCAAACAGAGCACAAGGAAGTAAAGCAGTTACTGGAGACTAACATTTTGTTAAATGATGAAAAGGAGAAATGGGGTAACTAAAAAGGGAAAGAAAAGAGAGAAGACATTATTATTCTGCTTGCCTGTTTGACTGTTTATTTAGGAGACCGGGAATATTTGTAGATGAAAAAAAAAGTCAGTGGAAAGAAAGCAACAATATAATAGTTTCCCCTTTTTCATGGTTTTACTTTCTACTGTTTCATTATTCACAAATATGGTTCAAAAGCATTAAATAGAAATTCTAGAAATAAACAATTCATACGTTTTAAATTGCATATCATTATGTGTAGCATGATAAAATCTCATGTGATCCCACTCTGTCTCTCTCAGGCAGTAAATCATCTCTTTGTCTAGGGTATCCACACTGTACATGCTCTTCTGAATGTTAGTCGCTTAGCAGTGGTCTCAGTTATCAGATTAATGGTTTCTGTATTGCAGTGCTTGAGTTCAAGTCATATCTATTTTACTTAATAATGGCTCAAAAGTGCAAAAGTTGTGATGCTGGCTCACTCTTCTGATATGCCAAAAAGAAGCCTTGAAGTTCTTCCTTTATGTGAAAAGGTAAAGGTTCTCCACTTGTTAATAAAATAAAAATAGTTGTATGCTGAAGTTGCTAAGAGCTGCAGTAAGAAGGAATCTACTACCTGCAAAATTGTGAGAAGAAAAAGGAAATTTGTGCTGGTTTTTCTATCACATCTCAAACTGCAAAAGTTATGGCTACTGTGTAAGCACTTAATTAAGATGGGAAAGGCATTGAATTGTAGATGGAAGACATGAAGCAGAAACATGTCTGATTAATAGCAACATTCTGTGCCAGATTAGCTTATTCTTAATTAAATTAAACATTATCATAGGTATGTATGTAGAGAAAAAAATTAAGCCTTATCATAGATATTCATATATCTATAGGGTTTGGTACTCTTTGAGGTTCCAGGCATCCACTGAAGGTCCTGGAACATATCCCTCATGGACAAGAACGGCTGTATAAGAAAAATTCTTTGAACATTGTACTAGAAAACAATAGCTAATACCTAACATTTGTTTAGTGGTTACTAAGCACCAGGAACCATTTAAAGAGCTTACGTGTACTAACTCATGTATTGCTTACAACATCACAATTAGTGGTGCAATCGCCTTCGCAAAATTATGACAGTAAGAGAAATCTGACATAGTTGATTCCATCTTATTCTATTCTCCAAGTTGTCATTGGTCTTTCCTGGGTGTAGGCCAAGCTAATTTGGGGAGAAATTTATTTCGTAGTTTAACCTTAAAGCAAGGATAGTACTATTCCCTCCCAGAACGAAACTGCCTTTATACAACTGATGAAAGGACACAAGGTTAGGATTATGACACGGACCTGAATTCTGCTAAGATGTAGGCATAGTTAAATTATAACAAGCCATTGTTCCACAAGATTTGCAACTTCACCAATTACTTGCATGGATAACATTATATTGTACAACCTAAGATTGGTGTTTTGAAACATTATTTAGATTTTTGCATTCTGGCAACCAATCGACCACATATAGACTCATGACTCATGACTCAACCCATCCTGTGCCCCTCACCCAGAGGCAGACTCAGTGCCTGAGGACCGTTTTTCACACTCCTGTGATTTCATCCCTGACCAATCAGCAGCATCCATTCCCTAGTCCCCTACTCACCAAACTATCCTCGAAAACCCCTAACCTCCAAGCCTTCAGGGAGATCGATTTAAGCAATAATTCTACTCCTTCACATGGCTAACCTTGTGACATTTAAAGTCTTTCTTTACTGCAATGTGATGATCTTAGAGAACTGATTTTGTCTGTGCAGTGGGCAGGAAAACCCCTCAGATGACTACAGCAGGTAAAGTAGCATTCACAATTATTATCCACATTGCACAGATAGGAAACTGAAGCACAAAGAGAAAAAAGGCAGCAAGATTAGACAACCTTCATTATTTTTATTACTACCCCATAAAACAAAATGAATGCTCTCGTGTACATTCTAATACATTATCAGTCAATTGACAGTTCCATAATCAATGTGTCATAGACCTGTTGGGACAACACTGCCCAAAGAAGCTTGACCCCTGATGGTGACTCCCCTGCTCTGCCATGGCATCATACTAGACACAATACTAGGCTTTTGTGTTTTTATGAAATGCTGTATGCTGTAAGATTAAACGTTGTTTTGCATTGCTACAGGTTGGGTTCTCTGAGAGGTAATAATGTGGGATGTTTATTCAGGAGTGCCCTTAGAACAGCCCTGTGGAAAAGGAAGCAACTCTAGGCAGAGATAGGAGTTAAACCATGATGTAGCTCTCACAACAGCATCTGCTCAACTCAGGGAAATCTTCGGAGCTAGAATGACCATTTAGAATTGCTCCCAACTAGGACAAGATGGCCAAGACTTTAAAGGTCTGCATTAGTCAGTCACTAGATCCAAAGATCCATGTGACTTTATACTAGGGGCTAACAGTCAAGTGCTTACAGCACGCCCAGGAACCACGGCAACAAATCCTTCACCTAGGGGTCAGGTAGGTAACACATTATAGAGTCTACTCCAGGCATTCATGGTATAGAACCATATAAAATTGCCATTTCTATATGCCAAAAATGCTAGAAAATTGACCATTTCTTATGGTTTGGTCTAATGTATGTTATTTCACTCATGTATATGTTGTTTTATCTAAAAATCAGAGCGGCAGCCTGCAGTCATTTGTAGTATGACTAGGGTTGGGTAGATCAAGTGTATTTTTAAAAGGTCATGTAACTGAGAACTGTGGAGCTAACATCTTACTGAAGACATCAAGCTATTACAGGTTTTAAAGGGGAGATAGTTTTACATGTTATTATATTAAATGGTATTATGTTGGGTTGTTTATACGTACAAATAAAAACCTTGTCATTGCTTACAAAACTTCATAGTTGGTTATATTAATTTCATATGACTGTAGAAGTAATTCCCATAAACTATTTAGTATGTTAAAGCAATGCAAATCTGTTGTCTCAGTATCAGAAATTAAGAGTGGGTCAGTAAGGCTCTAATCCTTCTGTAGACTGGAGGGAGGTGCCAATTTTTGTTTTTTTCATTTTAAAGCTTTTAGAATGTGTTTCTCTAATCACAGCTCCTACTCTCCAGCTCGGACCCTCTTACCTCTCTCTTACAAGGACACATGTTACATGGTTCCCACATTGGTAACCAAGAATCATTTCCGCACCTGATGATACTTTATTTGATCACATATTCAAAGCCCTTTTACCACATAGGGAATTTTGACAAGATTTTTCCAGGGATAAGGAGGTAGACATCTTTGGGGAGCCAATATTCTGTTTACCACACTGCATGAATTGGTGCAAATTAACTGTCTTTCCTGGACTTCATTTTTCTTTCTGGGCAAGTAATAGATTCTACCATATACCTGAGGTCCTTCTAACATTCTATACTTACGCATTTATGATCAACAAATAGCAAATTGTATTTTAACTTTTCTGCTTTGCTCTACAAAATTAACGTAGTCTAAGAAAAGACATACCAAAATATTATGTGATAAAGAATAGCAATGTGAAGAATCAGGTTATGAGTGATTTTTTAATAGAATGTTAGCTCTAAAAATAATTGAGATGTTGAATGTTATTCTCCTTCCCACCCCTCATCACCAGTTGACGGTGCATTTGAGCACTAGTCTTTTCTAGAAGATTTGTCAATCATATGTCTAGCTAATAACTAAAGTATCACAAACTCCAATATGTATCATACTATAGAATATGTTGCACATTTTTTAACAACCCATCAATGCATGAATTGCTGAATAATACATATCTGATGACAACAACAATAACAATGAAACATCTCTTTTTTGGTGTTTTTTCTGACTAACGATTTCCTAATAAGAGTAAAACTACTAGTTGCTGTTGTTTTAATATTTGCTTATTTGTTTTTGTTGTGGTTTTGTTTTGTAATTCCAGTGGTCACTCAGTCTTCCATACTGTTTGTTCCACAAGGACTGTTCTTGACATTAAACGTTCCTTTGCTTTCTTTTAAGTGGAATGTGTTATTTTCTTTCACATTCAAATAAAAAAGAAAAGCTTTCTTTCTCCTTTGATTTAAAAAGAATGTACTATACTTGAGAAAAGAGTGAAACAGCTTTATTTTAAAATCCAGATGAGAAAAACAAAATGCATCTTGCCAACACAATGCACATTTGTTAGCATGCCCTCAGTACAAAGACTTATCTACTGTGCTGTTTTATCTTGATATTGTATGATACAGGCTTTCCCCAAAAGTTAAAATATATTTTTGACATTTTGACTAAGAGATTAAAAGTGGTCTAAGAAGAACATTCATTTTTCAAAATGGTGATTTGTGCAACCTGTTGCTTGCCACTTATTATAACTATCAATTGATCTATTTTTGTATTCCCTCTGGCTAAAAGAAACTGCTTTTTATAGCATTAATTTTAAAATACAATTATGGAGGAGTGATGTCAGCAAGATGGCTGACTAGAAGCCCCTAGTGCTCATTCCCCACACAAAGACAGCCAACGCAACAAATAAATAGCTACCCTTTGATGAAAATACCTAAAGGAGAGCTCCAGAGTACATCAAAGGAATAGCAGAAACACTGTAGAGCACAGAAATCCAGGTTGGCCACACAAAATACAGACAGATACACATGACCTCTAACACCCAATTTCCCAATTGGTATCAGCTCAGACCCAGGATGGACTTTTCCCTGTGGGGCAAAAGTAAGCAAGAGGACCCCAACAACCTCCATCAACACTGTAGTCACCTACAGTCATTGCCAGTGAGGACTCTCACCATTGTCGCAGGCACTAAGCCCAACTGAGGCAGCTGCCTGAGGCTCACGCGACTGTGCTTCCCCCAGAGAAGAAGCCAATGCTCTGTCCAGTCCTCCAAGGCTGGCGCTGCCTATACTACACCATGCTGGAACCAGAGCCACTGCTGGAGTGTGTCTTGCTCCAGGGATGAGGAGCCACCGAACACTTTTCATCCTCAGGGCTTTGTCCCTGCAGTACCACACCCTCCTAGAGGTCAGCCATCCCCCAGCTGAGTTGCCACTACCCTGAATACCCTAGGGCCAAGCTGCAGCGAAGCTGCTCCATCCATCCCTCCTAGGCACTGCTGCACCTTGCCCTTCAGGCCCTGAACAATATTGGCATCCTGCTTTCTGGAGAAATAGTGCCTTGGCTACCCAGAGCAGTCATACATCCTAGCACCAGAGCTGAAGCAGCACCCCACTTTAGAGGGAATCATTGCCATAGCTCCCTAGGGTCACAACCCTCTATAGCCTGAGCTGAAGTGGTACCCTAGCTACTGGAAAATTGGTGCAACTCAGAGCAGTCACCCTCCCAGCTGCCTGAGCAGAAGCAATGCTCTGCCTCCCGGGGAATCTTTACCAAGACTCCCTAATGTGGTCTTATTTCCTGGAACCTGAGCTGAAGCAGTTCGCCACCTCCCAGGGAGTTGGTGCCTTGGACAAGCTGAGCAGCCACGCCTGCCATGGCTGAGCTTTCATGGCACCCTGCATCCCAGGGACACAGAGCATTCATTGATCTGGGATACTTTGTCCTCCAGGGCAAAAAAGGTGGCACCCTGCTGCCCTGGAACTGGACTAGGCCCCCAGAGCCTGAGGTGCTAAGGCAGCTTGCCTTTCCAGAGAGTGGGTTCATTGCTGTGCTGCTCCCTGGCCTCCGCAGTCCAAGCCACAGCAGTGCTCCACCATTAATGAGCCTTTGCTACTGCTACACCCAGCTTCACAGAAGCCTAGGATTATCCCAGGGTCCGGAATGACCACTGTATGTTACTTCATCCCCCAGGGCCTGAGTTGCTGCTATGCCCTATTGGCTTCAGCTTCCAAATTACAGTTGTGCCTTATTCCTCAGGGCCCAAACCTAAAGAGCACTCCTCCCTCTCAGAAGTCAGGCTAATGCTGTGCCCTGCCCCCAGGGTTAAGGTCCTAGCTACAACCAAACCTCCTGGGCCCAAGCTCTTGAGGTGTCCTTAGTATCACAGAATTTAGCTTTGTGGGCAATCTGCATCTACCCATGCCTCAAAGAGTAAACCTGCACCCCAAGTCCCAGATTCAAGAGAAGGTTTAGGAGATCCTGATCCCAGCACTCAGGCTTCATAGCTACTCTGAGTACCTGCAACCAGGAACCCAGTGCCACCACGGCTGCTTGTGGGCCATGTAACACCCAATGCCAAGAAGCCACAATATAAAATTTGGAAGAGGTGACTTCCAGCAGATGTGCAGGGATCAACACAGGGACACAAGAAACATAAAAAAGCAAGGAAACATGACATAACTGAAAGAACATAATAATTTTTCAGTAACTCCATCCTCCAAAAAATTTATTTAAAGGGAAATGAAAATCAAAACCACTATGAGATATTACCTCACACTTATTAAGATAGCTATTATCAAAAAGAAAAGAGATTATAAAAGTTGGTAAGGCTATGAAGAAAAGATAACCCTTGTACACTGCTGATGGAAAAATAGATTGATGTAGCTATTATCAAAAACAGGATGGTGGTTCCTAAAAAAATTTTAAAAAATTAAAAAATAGAGTTGCCATATGGCCCAGCAGTCTCTTTTCTGGATATATACGCAAGAGAAATAAAAATACCACCACATAAATATATCTACACTCCCATGTTCATTGCAGCTTTAAAACACATAAGTGTCTGTCGACAGAGATAAAAAAAACTGTGGTATAGATATATAATGGAATAGTATGTAGCCTTAAAAAAGGAGCTCCTGCCATTTGCCACAACATGGATGGACCTAAAGGACATTATGCTAAATTAAATAAGCCAGACACAAAAAGAAAAATACTGTATGATATTGCATGATCGACTTATATGTGGAAATTTTAAAAATAAAATAAAATAAAATATAAGAGAGAATAAAACAGTAGTTGCCAGGGGCTGTGGGTGTAGGTGAGAGACTGGGGAAATGTATGTCAAAGGATGAAAAGTAGCAGGTGTAGGATGAATGAGTCTAAAGATCTAATGCCCAATGTGTGAACAATACTTAATAATAATGTACTGTATTCAGGATGTTTGTTAAATAAGTAGATTATGGCTGTTCTTGCCATGGAGGGATATGAGTAACTGTGAGATGATGGATATGTAAATTTGTTTCACTATAATAATCATTTGGCTATATATATGTGTGTGTGCGTGTGTGTGTGTGTATGTACATACACATCTTATAAGATGTTGTATACCTTAAGTGTATACAATAAAATTTATTTAAAAAAATAAAATTGTGAAATACACATTCAGAGAGAAACAAAAGCTTTTAAAAATGTTATTGTCTTCACTGCAGTTGGTTAATGATTTAAGGAAAAAAGTTATGAGAAATGGTAAAAACAAAACAAAATAAAATACAATTATGGTAAGCCAATATGTACACATGGTATGTTCAGGTACATAATGGTAAATGCCACATACTTTGTGATCTTTGTCACTGGGGACAAATTTATAAACATATTAGCATTTGTGGTTTTAATCATAAGCTGTGCTTTTCATTGTCCATGTTATTTTAAGCTTTCAGAAGTAATAGAGCTCTGCAATGGCGTAATCTCCTTCCCACCAGCCTCTCACCGTAAGATGTATTCTGGGCTAACAAACTGATGTTCGTTGAAACTAGGAAGGAATGAATTTAATAATAAGATTTCAACTGGATGATGAATATACTTAAATAATTTTGCTTTTGTTTGAATTTAACTGGTTTTAATTACACTCTGCCTTGCTTTATCTAACAGTGGTGCTTTGAAGTCAGACTTGAATAAAGAATTCTGAATTACTCTTTCAAGAATATCCTGATGCATATATCAACCTCAGTAAATTTGGACTTTTTTCTCCCTCAGAATAATACATGTCCTACTATGTTGGAAATTCAATTAAATTATATATTAAATGTGTTCTATAACTAACTGAATTCATCATGGTGTCAGTTATTAGTAGATATGAAATAACAAAAAAAAATCAAAGGTTATTGAACAAAAAGTCATATTTTTGGAAGTCTTTCCAAACATTTTCTAGCTTATTTTTGTTCACAATTTTTACTTAAAGTTCTGATAAAAGTGTTTTTTAGTCAGTTGCCTTGTTGAAAAGTCTCTTGTTTTGGGAACTATGGCCTTTAAGAACATAAACTACTTTGATGGTAAAGATATACAATTTAATACTTGAAGTAAAATAACAACTGGAGCAATAGTAACTAATTTGGACTAGGACATTAATCAGTCCTGCAGTCTTTGGCAAAGTGACTCCACTGTGTGTGCCCCTCACAGTGAGAGAGCCTCTTCAGTTCTAGAACCCGTTGACACAAGAGTCCATTTCATGAAAACTTACATCTTCTACAACTTAACTGGGTCATTAGCAATTAAAGCTACACAAAATAATTTGATACAAAATTTTCCTTTTGGTTCATCCTTTCATTGGGTCTTAATCACTTTTATGTAACAACATCTTATTTTTTGTAGGTTGGGGAGGCTATAGAAAACATGTTCATTGTAGAATGCCTAGGAAAAGCAGAAAACTAAAAATGAAGAATTTTTCATTACCCATAATTCTCCTTCTTAGGGGTAACTGCTATAAATTAAATTGTTTGCGCAAGAAAAATGTTAAATTCAAAACTGATATTACATTATACTTCCATATTTTTCTTCTTTTATTCTTATCTAATATGTAAAGAATATTAGTATTACATGGTGTGGTTTTATAACAATTAATAAATCTTCTATAAGAATATATTACATCATTTCAAATTTTTCAATATATTAAAAATTCTGCAATATACATCCTTGTGGAGAATTCTTTTTTAAAAATGTATTTCTTTAGAATGAATCACTAAAAGCAGACTTGCTGAGACAAAAATTATGAAACCTTTTAAGGAGCCCAGTGCATTTTGCTAAATTACCCTCAAAGAATTTTTCCAATACATACTCCCATTAGAAAATTTTTGAGTATATCAACTACCCAAACCTTCCAAATGCTACATGAAGTCATTTTGAAAATTTACACAAATTAGTAGTGTAGATAATGTTATCTGAATTTTTAAATTTCATTTCTCTGCCAACTAGGGAAGTAGAAGACATCTTGACTCAAAAAAAAAAAAAGGAGTTACTGTAATTTGGGGCAACTAAGAAATATATACACTATGAGAAAATTTTACAGGTCAGAAACGGAGTCTTAGGAGTAGTTCATAGCAAAGAGAGTACAATGTCCTGGAGATATACTTTTAAAAAATGATGTAGGATTTTTCTGTCACTTATCAGCCAGAGACCCCCGGCCAGTGACGCCCTTGCCCAGTCCTGGACTCCAGCGTGGGTCCTGGGGTCACTGCAACAGCCTGCTCAGCTCCCGGTGGGAGGGGATGTGTGAATAAGTGAGTGTGGGGTCCAGTCCGCCGTTCCAAGTGCATTCACAGAGACAGGCTCCGTGCAGTGCTTGCGGCTGGACCAGGCGTGTTGCAAGCCACTCCCGTGGTGGACTCTCGTGTCCAGGCAAGGGGAAGGCAGTGACGCCCAGGCAGGGGTGCCCGTGACCCTGAAGCCCCAGAGGGGGTGTTACAGAGCACTAATGAGCTCTTTTAGTCCAGCTGTCCTCAGCTCTATCAGCCCTTGTCCCGCTCTGGCCTACAACTCCTGGGCCTGGCTCAGCCCCGCCACTGCTTCCATCGTGTGGGGCAGCTGCCCCCACCAGCGGAGGGCAGAGAGCCACGAGGTTACAGCCTTCTTTGTGCCCACGCTCAGTGGGTGCCGAGTTCTTGTCCCACGTCCAAGAAGGATGAGATCACACTGACGAGAAGAGTGAGGAAGGCAGAGAACAATTTTATTGAGCAACAAAACAGCTCTCCGTGGAGAGGTGACACCAAGGTGAGTCGAACACCTGAATTTCGTGATTTTTTTTCTCTCTCAAGTGTGGCTGGGTCCGGGACTTTTATGGGGACAGAATGGGGAGGATCAGGCCCTAGGTAGCTTTGGAAAAGGTAATATTTGATGGGTTAAAAAGCATTCAGAAAGAACGAATCAAGAAAGAGCAGACAACCAGGAATAGAAGTGCTTACTCTGGGTTGCAGGTTTCAGACTGTTTTTGGCTTAAAGGTGGGGTTTCACTGGAGACCCGCCGCTGTCTGCCCAGAATCTGTCTGCTTCCTGCCACTATCACTAACTTACAGTTATTTATTTATTGAAGCCTTTTCGTCAATGATAAGAATTGGATGAGACGCCTTCACTATCAACATTTAGGGGGGTCAGTCCCTTTTAACTTTTATTTTAGATTCAGTGGGTACATTTGCAGGTATGTTACATGGATCTTTTGCATGATGCTGGGGTTTGGGGTATGGGTAATCTCCTCACACAGGTAGTGAGGATAGCGCTTTGTAGGTCGTTTTTCAGCCTGCACTCCCCTCCCTACCTCCTCCCTCTAGTAGTCCCTAGGGCCTCTTGTTCCTGTCTTTATGTCCATGTGTAGTAGATGTTTAGCTCCAGGGCAGGTGACATACAGGAAATCTCTGTACCTTCTACTCAGTATTGCTGTGAACCTAAAGCTGCTATAAAAAAAAAATGTCTTTTACTGAATAAAAATTTAATTGGCAATACATTTATTTTGTACCAAAAAAAGAAATTGTGATAGCAAAGGAATCATACCTGAATAAACAATATATTCACTCACTTAAAAAAAAATTATCAGGAAGCATAAACCAATAGAGGTTCTACTTGAAGCCAAAGCGATGAGTCTTTACTATCACCCACCACCGTGCTTCTTTTTCTGCATTCCTCACCCCTGAGGAAAATCTGAGAAGGTTCTGGAGCTACCAAAGTAGTGTCGCAGGGATCAGCTGTTTGAGGGCTGAGAGACTCATACTTTTTTCCTTTGCAGCGTAGCAGAGGAAGAAAAACAGGCCTTTCAAACAAAATTTTCCCCTGAGGAAGGGAGCATAACTTCCAAATCAACAACAACAAAAAATGATGCTGATGTTAGCATCTACACATGCTCGCAGCACAGCTTTAAGACTATATATATATACACACATATATATACATATATATACACATATATATACATATATACATATATACATATATACACATATATATACATATATATACATATATACATATATATATACATATATATATACGTATATATATATATACATATATATTTTTTTTTTTTTTTGAGACGGAGTCTCGCTCTGTCGCCCAGGCTGGAGTGCAGTGGTGCGATCTTGGCTCCACCTCCCGGGTTCACGCCATTCTCCTGCCTCAGCCTCCCGAGTAGCTGGGACTACTGGCGCCCGCCACCATGCTCGGCTAATTTTTTGTATTTTTAGTAGAGACGGGGTTTCACCGTGTTAGGATAGTCTCGATCTCCTGACCTCGTGATCCGCCCACCTCAGCCTCCCAAAGTGCTGGGATTACAGGTGTGAGCCACTGCGCCTGGCCAGGAATATGTTTTAAATAGTTGTGGAAAAGCTGCATTTTCTTTTTTAATATTTTGTGGCTTTAAAAATGAAAGAACAATTAGAAAATCAATCTGACTTGAAAACTCATCAGGTGGGAATTAAGTCAATCAGATATTCTAAACAGTTAGGGTAAGCAACCCACTGATCTGTCTCATTCACACATAATTTTTGCCAGTTAGCACTGCCCATTGGGTATGTGCCACTAAACATTATGTCAGAATACAATGATCTATATAATATAAGGAGAGAACTGTGCGATTGCTTGGCTAAGCCAGAGGCAAAACCCAGGAGTTCCTGTGTCACATCTAACACTACAACCTAGGTCAGCCAACAAAATGATGGTACCGTATTTATGTTTTAATTTGTTTACAACATTAAAAAAAGATATTTCATAAAAAGATACATTTCTGACTTCTCTTGAGCAATTTGATAATTATAGGCTTGAAGTTTTATGTAGCAAAGATCAGCTGTTGCTGAGAAGAGTCTCTCATCTTTACACAAGGCGTGCCTTTCCATTTACAATTCCTACCACAATTTACTGCCTCCCTGATATGGAGACAGAATGTCAATTGTCATCTGTCATTTTACTCATGGCCCATTTTACATCCTTTGTATTACTTTTTGGACTTTGTAAGCATCTGAATTCATGATCCTAAGCTGATACCACTCAAGTCATTTACCAGTGAATCTGGAAGAAAAATAGTAAAGAGTACCCTCAAACTTGAAATAATGTATTTTTAGATTGCAGCAAGATATAATCCGATTAGGAAAGTTTTAATGCATCCATTAATTCATTCATTTACTCTTTGTTATGTAATATTTATTGAACACCAACTACGCACTTGACAATGTGTTGGTTGTTAGATATTGCAGTAAACAACATGGGCATTGTTCCTTATGCAGAAATAAAAATTACAACTTTGATGAAGTACAGAAAAAAATGTATCATTCTATGAAATCATGTAAGAGAGGAAAAAGAATTTTTAAAAGAGGGAAGCAAGTCACCTATGTCCAAATAAGCTAACCAAATAATAATAATGTGACTGAATTATAATTGAGGAATAAGAGCTAACAGAATAAATTCTACAAATAGATCTGAAAATTACATAAGAATACACTAATATGAAAAAAGAACAGTTACTAGAGCCAATAACTGATACTAAGAAATAAAATGTTCCCTGTGCCTCTGGATGGGGTAGAATGTATACACTATATATATATATATATATATATATATATATATATATACACACACACACACACACACGCATATATATACACACACATATATATACATATAGAGACATATATGTGTACACACATACATCTCTCTCTATATATACAGACATATATACATACATATATATGTACATATACATACACACAAAGATATCATTATTTGGCAGTAACTAAGTTAAATGCATCATCTTATTTAATTCTCTTGACTCCTTTATTAAGCAGGCAATATTACTATTCATCTGTTTTAGACATGAATCCATTGAGGCTTAGAAAAGTTCATGTTAATTAAGGTCATATATTAAATGGTAAAGCCAGGTCTCAAACCCAAATTCTGATTCTAAACTGTAAAAAGGAAATTAACACAGAACTGAAACATTTTATCAAATTTTCCCATGACCTATATGGGATGTCTCTCAAACTAATCTAGTCTGCTTTGTTAACAGTCCAGACACATCAGCAAAACTCATACCAAATTATTCAAATGCTTATACAGTCTGATCCTGGAAAACATGGTGTCCTAGATAGTAGAAATGCCATCCAGTTCATGAGGGAAAGCATATCCCAGTATGAATTCCAGAATTGGCATGGATTTATGTAATCACTTGTTTTTTTTCTTGGTTGCATAAGTTGATATTCCAGAGTTTAATCAACTCTGGTTGGGTTGAAATTTCAAGTTACTGAACTAGCAAAGTTTGGAAGTATTGGGCTTATTTCTAAGTTCAGCAACAAGTGAGAGTCAAACAAGTTAAACAGATGTAGATCAAAATGCCATTTAATTATGAAACTTTTAAAGGTATGAGGCTTTACATCTGCAGGTATTTTGGCTTGGTGCTACTTACTCTTCTGCATAGTTACAAGCATAACTAGGACTGCCTGCAGCATCAGGCTTCTTTTCAGATGGTGAAAAGTAGTCTAGAATGCACTCCCTGTACAGTGGGCTAGCTTTGAAAGACAGAACCTCAAAGGGGTTCAGTCATGCATGCCTGGTTATGCTTCTACACTGACTGCAGGGGTTCACCTGTCTTAGTTTACTTAGTGGTAGAGGAGGCCAGAAGAAAAGTGTGAGAGGGAAATGAATTCTGCTAGAATCCTGAATAAGCCTAGAAGAAGATTTTCCCCAGTGCCTCCAGATAAGAGCCCAGGCTAGTTAACATCTCAAGTTTGACCTTGTGAGACCCCAGGCAGAGAACCAAGCCTAGCCCACTTGAACTTTTTGCCTGGAGAACCTCTAAGCTAATAAATGGGTGTTGTGTCAAGGGGCCAAATTTGTTGTAATTTCTTATGACAGCAATAGAAAATGAATGTGCATCCCAACCACTAACAAGAATCACGTCCTGAAATATGGCAGCTTAAGTAAGGTAAAGTCAGCTAGACATTCCTAAGTGGACACCATTCTCCTACTTACTTATACTTACTCTACAGCTTCACTCCTGGGTTATTAATAAATAGGTCACGCATCCAAATAACAAAAATCCTTCTTTCTCAATATAAAAATGATTGTTATTTAAAAAAATACTATTTCAAGGCCAGGCGCGGTGGCTCACGCCTGTAATTCCAGCATTTTGGGAGGCCGAGGCGGGCAGATCACAAGGTCAGGAGATCGAGACCATCCTGGCTAATACGGTGAAACCCCGTCTCTACTAAAAATACAAAAAAATTAGCCTGGCGTGGTAGGCGCCTGTGAGAAGCTGAGGCAGGAGAATGGCAGGAACCCAGGAGGCGGAGCTTGCAGTGAGCCGAGATGGCGCCACTGCACTCCAGCCTGGGCGACAGAACGAGACTCTGTCTCAAAATATATATATGTATATATACTATTTCAATAAGAATAAATAAAAACAATGAGCCCTGAAAATAATCCTACCACCCAAGGATAAATATTAGCAAGATCTTAGTATATAGTTCTTTTTCAATACAAACAAAATCAAATCGTGTATCCTGCTGTATAATCTTCAATAAATCATGACTATGCTCCCATACTAGAAAATGTATTTTTAAAAAACAATATTTTGCTGGCTTTATATTAATATATAATATGCTTGAATAATTTTTTCCTTTTACTGTTTTATTTTTGTAAATAAACATGTATTTAACAAAACATTTATACTTTGAATTTTAAAATCTTGAAATATAATTTAAAATTCAGTATGAATCCAGTTTACATGATGAAAAATTTAATATGGGCAAACTTACACTAAAGATGAAAGTGACCTCATGATCTTCGATATTAGTTGACATTTGGAAAAATATTTTATTACATAAATATAAAGACAAAACACTTTGGTTACTTAATTTTACACATACCAGTGTAAAAGAATGAAGACAGAGAGAGGAGAGAAAACAACTAGTACAATAAGACAGAATAGTAAAATGGATATATGATAGCAGAAGTTAAATACACTGGTATAGTTCAAACATGAAACATGTTTCATTGTATGGAAAAAGAGCATTATGTATATAATGTGCAAAATTATCATCATTAACTTGATAGCAACAATACCATATTTGAATTTTTTTTTTTTTTTTGAGATGGAGTCTCACTCTGTGGCCCAGGCTGGAGTGCAGTGGTGCAATCTTGGCTCACTGCAACCTCCACCTCCTGGGTTCAAGTGATTCTTCTGCCTCAGCCTCCCAAGTAGCTGGGATTACAAGTGTGTGCCACCACACCCAGCTAATTTTTGTATTTTTAGTAGAGACGGGGTTTCACCATGTTGATCAGGCTGGTCTTGAACTCCTGACCTCTGGTGATCCTCCCGCCTTGGCGTTCCGAAGTGGTGGGATCACAGGCGGGAGCCACCGTACCCAGCCTATATTTGAAAATTCTTAATAGTAGCTACCATTTTACATTTAGGAACCTTATATTTAGAATCCAGATTGTAAATGTCTAAGTAATTTTTGTGTAAAAAAGAAAAGACTTAGCTACTTAATTGTCAGACTATATGCTATGGTTATTATTTTAAATTTCTAAAGTAATATGTTGTCCATCATGGGATTCAGGTGTTTTGTTAATATGCACTTGTTGATAAAATGTGTAGTGCATAGCAGAATGCCTAGGGACACATTCCACTTTATTGATTGACTCGATTATGATGGTGCAGACAATAAATCTTTCACAATAAGGAATATTTATTGTTTCATCTACAGACAGCAAAACCAAAGGATTAACAGCATTAGAATCAGATTCATGGCCATTGTAAAAAAGAGGGTAGGTCAGGCGCGATGGCTCACGCCTGTAATCCCAGCACTTTGGGAGGCTGAGGCGGGCGAATCACGAGGTCAGGAGATAGAGACCATCCTGGCTAACAGAGTGAAACCCTGTCTCTACTAAAAATACCAAAAAATTAGCTGGGAGTGGTGGCGGGCACCTGTAGTCCCAGCTACTCGGCAGGCTGAGGCAGGAGAATGGTGTGAACCCGGGAGGCAGAGCTTGCTTTGACCCGAGATGGAGCCACTGCACTCCAGCCTGGGTGACAGAGCCAGACTCCGTATCAAAAAAAAAAAAAAAAAAAAAGTGGGTAATACATTACTTAGGTCCTAAAAATTATTTCTCTGAACTTCATTTCAATCTTTACTATATTCTATTTGATAAAACATTGTATCCTAATATGAGACCAATATATTTCAAATAAATTAGAATATTACCCAGATTCATTGAATAGATGAGGCATATTTTATCAAATAATTTTAAAATTCATAATTTGCTTTGTCAAAACACAAGGATACTTGTTAAATATCTGAATAATAAACTAAAATGTGCAGATAGATAATATACAGTAATACAAATAATTTCCTACTACTTATTTTTTTCCCTCTTAGTGGGATTTTGCTACTCAAATGTACCCAACAACGATGAGATATCATTAATTAGGAAATTAAAAAATAAAATAAAATTTGTTCTCTGTTTAGAAACATAGTGTAGTTACACAAAGATTGCTGTAAACATCTCTAGCATTGTCGTTCACAAGGTCATGATGGTATATACATAGATTAATGAAAAGAAATAATGATTAAAAGGATATAAAGATGCTTTGTGACTCTCAACTAGAGAACACATCAAAAAACAATAATAAACCTTTAAAAAAGAAAATAATAGAATAGAGATATGGAGGGTGGCAGGAAAGTAAGAACTTGAGAAGTTAGGTAAAAAGGAATATAGGAGAGAAACAGAAAGAAACTTTCCCTGCTTATAATGACAATGGCAGATACATGACAATCAAAATTTCAAATACCATGAAATTCATAGCATGTATGAAAATGATACTGTATCTTATCCTACAATAAAACTAGAGCACCTAGTCATGTTTCAGTTCAATAAAATATGTCCTGAGAATGCAAATACTATGTTTATCAGATTCTTTTTTCTATAACAGGCTCAGAAGTTGAAAATGTACATAGGCCCATCAAAATATCAGTAAAGTTCAGATTAAAACCATTCAATGCATTATGGGAAATTAACATGTTTTAGATACATTCCAAGCTGTGATGTCATTAGGAATATATTTTTTCATTTACCACTTAGTGTGTCCTTCAGGAAAAGAATAGAGAGGTCAAGATAATTTTGTAGAAGACCCAGAACCCAGAATGCTCTCACAGAATTAAACTAGTCACATGCTTTTACTTGATTTCTCTTTTGACTAATAATGCATGCCTGGCTATGAACATATTGTACATTATGTAAACAAGAAGGAGGATTTTTGTGAAAATTAAACTACTACTTCATCAAAATTGGCAAACAAATAAGGTTTTATTAAATCTTGCTGGAAAAGCCTGACCCAAGTACATCTAAAATGGGTATGTCTGTAAGAGAAAGAAGGAGACATAGGGAGAGAGAATAAGGAATACTCACTATAGAAAGTTACACTTTTGCACAGGGCACAGTGGCTCACGCCTGTAATCCCAGCACTTTGAGAGGCCAAGGCAGTCAGATCACGAGGTCAGGAGATTGAGACTATCCCGGCTAACACGGTGAAACCCCATCTCTACTAAAAATAGAAAAAAATTAGCTGGGTGTGGTGGCAGGCGCCTGTAGTCCCAGCTACTTGGGAGACTGAGGCAGGAGAATGGCATGAACCCAGGAAGTAGAGCTTGCAGTGAGCCAAGATGGCACCACTGCACTCCAGCCTGGGCGACAGAGTGAGACTCCATCTCAAAAAAAAAAAAAAAAAAAAAAAAAAAAAAAAAAAAAAGAGAAAGTTACACTTTTGCTTTTGAAATTTTTTATGCATTTCAGAAATTTATGTGGCAACTATAAAGCTGTGTCAGTCAGGGCTAAATCAAGGAAAGAAAACTACTATCATTATTACGGAATGGGGGATTTATTGTAGAAGTAAGAGGTTACACAATTATTGAAAAACCTGCAGAAAGAAGGGTCTGAAAGAGGAAGCTGGAGCATCCAAAAAAAAGTCGTTAAATAACTTTCCCTGAGCACTGTCAAAAGCGGTCAGCTAATCCCCAGGTGCCATTGTGGATCTCAATGGACAGTGGATGACGATGCTCATGGACAGCCATGGCCTCTCTACCTGGAGTTATCCAAACATTTTCATCTAGAAAACGAGTGTTGGGGGTATTTATTTCTAGCTTAGCCAAGTTAACACTACCGAACCACTATACCAAACAAAATGGCACATCATAATTTGTTTCCGAATTCTTCACTTGCTCCCAGTCTTCTTTCTTTCTTTATATTAAAAAATTAATTGATTAATCATTTTCTAAATATCCGTCACTATGCTGGATGCTGTGGCACAATGATAAGCCACATACAGATAGATAGATCTTGACATCAGGTAGCTTAGAGTCGAGGTTCACACTTAATTATTTGAGTCTCCAGAGTGGGTTGCATTGCATGGGACATGACAACCAAGATCATAGAGACTAGGATCACGAGCTCAAACACCGTGAGGGCCTAAGCATGTAACTGAAATATGGCAAAAGTCTAGCTATAACACAGTAGAAAGTATCAGGGGCAGAAGTGGGAGTATAGAAACTCGAGTGCCTAACGTAAAAGACTTCCCTAAGACTTCCAAGTGTAAAACCACGTTTCTAAAATCTACAACAGTATGATTTCTAAAATCAAAACAGAATGTTTTGTCTCTTATATGCTAAAGATAAAGATTGGAGCAAAAAATCAGCAAATCAATATGATTTCTTTGAATAGCATGCTTAAAATTATCCATGGCAAGAGTTAAAAAGTTTTGCAAAGTTTAAGTTGTGGCACTATACCTGTGACTGTTACAAGCCCATCACGTGAGTATTTCTACAAACCTCTGACAATAATAGGATGGGAAGCCTTCCTTGTGGCCTTAAAAAATATATTTGATCACAAGTAGAATCAATTTAGCAAATTAAAGGTGAGAAGGTACAACACACTTACTTTTATTAACCTTATTTGACTTAAGGAAGCCTTCACTATCCGCATTACCAAAAACAGTGTTTTCTTTGCCATGTGTTGAAGCATAAAATTGGGATGCAAATCTCTTTGCTTTCACTTTTACATTTACTTTTCCTGCTGCCTAGTAATCAGATCCTTCCAAGGTGTATATTTTAAACCCATAGGCCAGCTGATGGAAACAAAAATAATTTCAAAAACTTGGTACATGGATTTGCACTTTGCTATTAAATCTCTGACAGTTATCCTGGGCCCTTAGAATAATAACCAAAGGGAAAGAATTTTAAAAAGTTCTGGCTTTTTGTTTACTGTGAGAGGTTACTGAGGTGGAAAAAGCTATTAGGATCCAAACAGGGAGGTCTAATGACTCTTACTTATTCTATGAGGCCTTGACTAGATCTGATTCATATTCTAGTGGATTGGCCTTTTGTGGCCTGCTGAAAAGCCATGAAATCTCTGACAGCAAGAATGACTGCATCACAAATGAGCCTTTCTCTCATTTCCAACTCTGCTGTCCCCTGAGACTGACTTTATTATAAGAACATCAAATGCACTAGCTTCAGGTATTCAAGTCTTCTTGATTCCATGGTGCATGCCTTGACTACTACCTTCCTTCTACTTTGAGTTTCAAAGGGCATTATCTGAGTATCTGTCTTTGGTCATCACTCCTTATTCTTTTTCTCACACTTATAGGCATGAGAAATAACACAGGCTTTATTCAGTGTTTGGGAAGGAAACCTTGATACTGATGTAGTTTGTTCATCAGAATCCTAAACAATTTTCTGAAACACACACACACACACACACACACACACACACACACACACACAATGAGGGTACCCTGAAGAGCTGAGTTTAATTTACAGTTACAAATTAAATTAAGCTTAGGCTCTTCTACCTAGCTGTCTCTTCTTTTTTGAGATAGCATTCTTTAAATCAGTTTGGTTTGAGCTAAATATTTTTCTTATTATAAGTTTCAGGAAGTGATCAATTTTGTTATTATTTAGAAATGATATTTATAGATATCTATTCTAATTAGTTTATGTATACAAACACACAAAAAAGAAAATGTATAAAATCCCACCTATAATAACTGACATTTGGTGAACAATATCCTAGCCACTTCTGCATGCCTATATACACATATACAGAAAAGGTAGCAGGAGATATATATATATATTTTAAAATAACACTTTGGTTTTAGTTTTACATAAATTTTACCAAACAAGAAGGAACCAAAGTGGAACAGAAGGTACAGGCATTACTGAACTCCAGAAAAGTCATTCTTCACAAGAAGGCACGTTATTTTTTTAGGAAACTCCTCCAAAGATAAGAAAAACTATCTTGAATTATTTGAGAGATTAGATGATACCTATATTTTTCCACTCATCTATCTTTGTATTCTATTATTTTTGCATCCACTATATAATTTTTACATTTTTTATGCAAACATTGTTTGGAAATTTGTTTAATTTTGAATTTAAATTACTGCAGTGTTTTTCTCTAGCTCTTCACCAGTTTCCCCTTTATCATCTCTTTAGTTTGAATGCATTTTCTTCATCATTGGCTACATTTTCTTATCAAGTAGTTTTCTGAAGATGAACACATGCATGCTATAATCCCCGAGGCTTGACACACTTGACAATATTTTTTCCTATTTGATAGTGGCAGGAGGCAGGCATATCCTAAACAGACAGGGGTAGGTCCCTGGTGAAATCCGACCTTCAAACCAAAGATAGTTTAAAGCCTGAAAACCAGGCTATGAGTCTCAGATAAAACCATAAACTGGATCAAGAACCACTCTTCCAGTTTGGCACACTTTTCTCTGATCAATCCCCACCCTTCACCTGTTTTACATATACATACCCTTCCCTAATTGTTTCTTTGGAATGTTGTGCCCATCTTTGAGCAGACCCTTTTTTTTAGCCTTTTGTGCATATTCACAGACCACTCAGCATGCACTCCCCCATTCTGAGCCCATAAAAGCCGCAGAATCAGCCACGCTTGAGAGAGACTGCCCGCCTTTGGGCTGGGAGGAAGACTACCTGACTTCAGGTAAGGGGGCTGCCCAACTCGGGTCCCTCTCTCCACTGAGAGCTGTTTTGTCACTCAATAAAACTCTGTGCCTTGCTTAACCACTGGCTGTCAGCCTAGCCTCATTCTTCTTGGATGTGGGACAAGAACTTGGGACCCACTGAATGGCAAATGCAAACAGAGCTGTAACTCTGTAGCACTCCCCTCCCACTCGCCAAGCAACGGGAGAGGGAGCTGCTGGGCGCCACATGCCCCTGTTTGTCTGGCTGTGGACAGCAGGACTAAAAGAGCTGTGAACATATTCCAGTTCACTTGGTGTCTCTGAGTTTTCAGGAAGCACCACATCCCTCTCATCTGGACACTGGAGTCCAGCACAGGAGGCACTTGCAACACATCTGGCCCAGCCACTAGCCCTGCATGGAGCCAGTGCCTGCACTAGCACTTGGAGCAGCCAGCTAGACCCCGTGCTTGATCACTCACACACCCTCTCC
Organism: Homo sapiens; assembly: GCF_000001405.40. Taxonomy (NCBI): domain Eukaryota; kingdom Metazoa; phylum Chordata; class Mammalia; order Primates; family Hominidae; genus Homo; species Homo sapiens. The sequence continues at coordinate 39,664,189 of NC_000011.10, forward strand.
CGCTGCAGGCTGGGCATAGGATCCAGGTCGGAGGGCAAGCCAAATGCAGCTTGCAGGGCTGAGTGGGTGGGCTACCTCCTGCAGCAAGCCTGGGTCCGAGCAAGACTCGGGCAGTGCATCACTGGCTACCGAGGACTCTGGCTGGTGAAGTGACACCAAAATAAATCCTGTGTCATATTGCCCTTAGAGAGTAGAGCCAGTTTGGCTGTCCATAAAATTATTTGTGTGATGGATAATATTATGTGCCAACTTCAGTGAGCTATTTGATGCCCAGAGAGCTGGTAAAACATTGTGTCTGGATGTGTCTGTGGAGGTGTTTCTGGAAGAGATTAGCATTTGATCAGTAAACTGAGTAAAGAAGATTATCGTTAGCAATGGGGGTGAACATTATCCAATCTATTCAGGGGCTGAATAAACAAAAAGGTGAAAGAAGAATAAATTTGGTCTTTGCTTGAGGTGGGACATCCATCTTCTCTGGCCATTGAACATTGGTGCTCCTGGTTCTCAAGCCTTTGGACTTGGACTCAGTCTTACACCATTGCTTCTCTTCTGTCTCAGGCTTTCAGGTTTGAACTAAAACTATACCACCGACTTCCTCAGGCCTCAAGCTTATAGATGGCAGATCACAGGACTTCTCAGCCTTCTTAATTACATTAGCCAATTTCTAAAAATAAACGTCTTCCTATATACATCCTATTGGTTCTGTTTCTCTGGAGGACCCTGATTCACACACTTGGGTTACACTCTCTTTCTCTCGGAATTGTATCTATTCTTTTATCTTCTGCACTCCAGAGAAGAAGAACAACCACCTGCATCTATGCTGTTCAAAAAAATTCATAAATTTTTTTCTTGTATATTCTTATGTTATTTTTTCTTCAGCTTTATTAATTTAACTGAGATATAGCTTTTTTTTTTTTTTTTTTTTTTTTTGAGATGGAGTCTTACTCTGTTACCCAGGCTGGAATACAATGACGCAATCTTGGCTCACTGCAACTTCTGCCTCCCGAGTTCAAGTGATTCTCCTGCTTCAGCCTCCTGAGTAGCTGGGATTACAGGCTCCCGCCACCATGCCCAGCTAATTTTTGTACTTTTAGTAGAGACGGGGTTTCACCATGTTGGCCAGGCTGGTCTGGAACTCCTGACCTCAGGTCATCCGCCCACCTCAGCCTCCCAAAGTACTGGGATTACAGGCATGAGCAACCGTGCCCAGTCTTACTGAGATACATCTTTTTTTTTTTTTTTTTTTTGAAATGGAGTCTCGCTCTGTCGCCCAGGCTGGAGTGCAGTGGCATGATCCTGGCTCACTGCAACCTCCATCTCCCAGGTTCAAGAGATTCTCCTGTGCCAGCCTTCGGAGTAGCTGGTACTACAGGCATGTGCCACCACACCTGGCTATTTTTTTTTGTATTTTTAGTAGAGATGGGGTTTCACCGTGTTAGCCAGGATGGTCTCGATCTCCTGACCTCATGATCCGCCCCACCTTGGCCTCCCAGAGTGCTGGGATTACAGGCGTGAGCCACCGCGCCTGGCCCGAGATATATCTCATGTGGTTGTTTCTATCAATTTCTCCCAGGACACAATGATTATTTTCAGCTTAAGATGTAGGTCTTTGTGTTAGAAAAGCTTTATTTTTTACTAGTTTTTTTTTCTCTTCTATTTATTTTTTCCATCTTTGTGGGGAACAATATTTATGTTGATGAATAGTCTCTTGTAATGATCAGGTAGCACCCTTATCTAGCATATATCTGTGTTCCTTTCAATTTCATGTATATGTTGCTACATATCTATATATACACACACATTTATAAAAGAAACATAACTTTGTTATTTCTTTTTATTTTTCTTACTTTTACTATGGCTTTCATTCTTATCGCAGTTTTGTGTATCATTCTATTGTTCTCTGAGTTTTGATACCACACTTTTCATCTTCTTTTCTTTCATTCTTTTCTTGAATGTTGATAATGTTTTAGCTCTTTTTAAAGATAGCTCATGTTGTCTGCAATTTTTGAGACTATGGATAACATTGTGATTGTGCCTTTCACTTGTCTTTTTCTTATGTTCATTTTCTCATTGAAAAATGTTTATGTTTTTGCAGATTTTATTCATGGGACTCATGAGTTCCTTAATATTTGTTAATATTCATAAAAGGGACCAGCTGCTTGCTGAGGAATAATACAGGGAGTAAAGATACTGCGTCAGAAACCTTTACTTGGATTTGTTGTCTCAAACACCCTCTCACACAATATGTTATTTTCTTCACACCACAGAAAAGAGCATATTCCTCTTTAGTGTTTCCTTTTAAGAGGTCAGTGTCATGGCAAAGCCCTCCATGTTTCAGAAGCTATAGATTTCAATGTGGTTCTCATGGACTCTTCTTTTTTTTTTCCACTCTAACTCCTATAGTAATCTTCGGCTAGGACATTCAGTTATATAGACAATAGAATTGTCTTGTTGGAACATTTTCACTGTCATCTCACCTCTCACCTGACATTCTGTGGTACTGAACTTTGTCTCTATGGGGACATTTCCCATCTTCCTAGTGGCTTCTTCACAGCCTTAGATTGCCTGCTTTAAATCAAAGCATCATTGAATGTTCCTTTCAGGACAGTGACACTTACTTTGCAGGAAATCTGTATGCTGCCGGCCATGCAAGACACCATGTGTAAGCTCTCAGCATGCTCCCCTGTCACAGACATTACAGTATTTGCCAGAGGTACGTCAAGGTTACTGGCTTAGAGCTATGGGAGTTCCGTTGCTTTGTAAAGTCCTGTGTATCTCTCAAAGTTTTACTTACTTACTTTTTACTGTGGTGTTCAAAAGAAACACTGGAGTAAAAAAGACCTCACTTGATGATTATTAATGAGAAATTATTCTAAATATTTTCAAACAATAATATAACTCAAATATATATAAAACTGTGAAAGAAAGGCCTCTCATTTGTAAATTAAAAATAAAATTTTAAGTCCCTCAAATGACTGATGGACCCCCACCCCAGCCAAGAGCATTCCAAAGTAAACCTGAAATGCTAGTTCAGGCCATGATGGGAAGCAGGGATTAGATATGCCTCATTATACCCTCCTCTCTTTAGAATTCAGGCATAACATTCCAGCATCAACATTAAAACAGATCTTAAGGCTGACAAAACAGAGTTTTTGTAGTAGTAAGACACCAAATTCCAACCTGACTTTAGTATAGCATCACATGACAGATAGCAGGGCCTGAGATAAATTGAAGTATCTTACCCTAAAATATATTTATTTGACATATTTGAAATGACCCTGCAAAGCTGTCTCTTCCTGAGAAAATCCACATTATGTAGAGAATCCCCTTCCCTTTTCAGGTCTTTTCCCTGATCCAGGAGAGAATTAACTAAAAGCCTGGCACCTTTTTAAGTTCAACAGGAAGCATTTATAATCTATTCTCTCTGAAGCCTGCTACTTGGAGGCTTCATATCCATAATAAGAACCTTGTTCTCCAAATCCCTTATCTTAACCCAGACATTCCCTTCTATTGATTCCAGGTCTTTATATAATAAGTCTTTCAACCAATTGCCAATCAGAAAATCTTTGAATCCACCTATGACCTCGAAGTCCCCTGCCCCACCATAGCCTTGCTTCAAGTTGTCCCACCTTTCTGGACCAAACCAATGTACATTTTACAAGTATTGATTGATGTCTTATGTCTCCCTAAAATGTATAAAACCAAGCTGTAGCCTGACCACCTGGGGCACACGTTCTCAGGACCCCTGCTGGTGTGGCACAGGTCATTTTTCCTCATATTTGACTCTAAATAAATCTCTTCAAATATTTTACAGAGTTTCACTCTTCTGTTGACAAATTCAATACGCATTTACTGGAGACCTACTGTGTTTTAGCCACTGGAGAGACAAAAACATATTAAGAAATGAAATAAAAGGAGAGGCAGAGTTTGCAAAAGGCCAAGAAGGTCAGTTGATAGGGACAGTTGCTCTGGAAAAGGCAGACAAGTTGTAGAAAAGAGATGAATACAATGGTACCTACTGATAAACATAGTAATGTCTCTATTTCTTTCTATATTAAAGCCTATATTACCATATATGTCTCCAGTGGACGTTTTGCTTGATAGGGCCCACCTAACATGATGGTTTAAAGCTCCTGAAGTCAGGAGACAACAGCCTGGACAATATGAGAAGAAGAGATAATGACCTTTCATCTGAGGCTGTTCTGAAGAAAAATTATTAGCCTTTTCCAAACTTTAGCACAAAGAGGAGTCCAGGGTAAACGTGGAGGCCAATTATGAGCAATTACTGCTTTGAGTTTTATATGCCATAAGAGAATATAGAGTAATTGCAAAAAATAATTTTAAAAAATTAACACTTATCAAGTACTTCTACTATGTATAGTCTTGTCCTAAGCACCTTACTCATGTAATATTCACATCAGTCTTGTGGGCTCAACACACTATGGCCGTTGTTTTACAAATGAGGAAACTGAGACACGAGAGCTTAATTAACTGTACTAATGGTACAGAATGAAAAACTGACAGTTGAGATTTAATCTCCATTCTGAATAATTCCACAGCCTTTCCATATTAGTCACCATGCTCAGCAATGTCATGAAAGTTTTTCATGGTTTAGAGCAATCATTGTTTAAGCCCATCCAGTTCCCTGTGTTGTGGGTACACGCATCTCGGAGGAATTGTAAACTGCCATGTAAGTGACTCATTCTCAACCCTGCCCAAAAAATAGCCAGAAAGGAAACAGTTGCAGTATTTATATTGGGTAGAGTTTGTGGTTTGTTGATTGCTCCCACGCTCTGTTCTCATTTCTGTGCTTTAGACTGTGTCATACACTACCTGTGCAGGTAGTTGTATGACAATGTTGTACCTTGTGTCAACATTAATATTTTTACACTATTTTCCCTGGAATTGTATCATAAGCCATACTCTTCTCAGGTAGAAAAAGTGATAATTTCAGTTACCTAATCTTTTACTCAAAAGTAATCACATACAGTCAAAATGATTTGCTTTTTCGAATACTGGGGTTTGGGGGGATGAAAGGAAATATTGGTAGGCTACAAATATAGGAAAATATAATTATAGCAGTGTGCAAAAGGCAGGAGTTAGTTATTTATGAGAGGGAGGGAAAACAAACCCAAAATTATTTTGTTTGGAAGAAAAATATTTTGACAGAACAGATTAGGAGGTAGAACTTTGTCTTTCACTGTATGGGGAAAACCTCATCTTTTGGGTAATGAAAGAATATTTGTTAAAGAGTTAGTGGATAGATTATTGCTATTAATAATAACAGTCAATCCTGAAAGAGAAGAGTGCAGGTTGCATATAAGATATATAAACACACATACAGGCACACACAAGTTCATTATTCCCTACAACAATTCATGATAGAGAGTGCTTCTTTCTTCATTTATAAATTTCTCACTGTTTTTATGACCACTAATATAAAATCAGGAAATAAAAGTGTAAAAATTTTATGTAATTTGCTGAAGATCTTATACCTATCTGTAGCACAAGAAATCAAACCCAAGCAGCATCAGCATAATTTCAGAATCCAGGTATTGAAATATGATATTATGTGACTTCTTTTTTCTTTTTTTTTTTTCAGAGAAGGGTCTCATTCTATCACTAGAACGGTGTAGTTGTGTAATCATAGCTCACTGCAGCCTTGAACTCCTGGCTGCAAGCAGTCCTTGTGCCTCAGCTTCCCAAGTAGCTGGGACTACAGCCACCCTGCCCAATTAATTTTTGTTTTAAGTGCTTTGTAGAGTTGGGGGTCTCACTATGTTGCCAAGGCTGCTCTTAAACTCCTGGCTCAAGTAATCCTCCTGCCTTAACTTCCTAAAATACTGTGATTACAGGAATGAGCCATTGCACCCAGCCAGTGACTTATAATATTTCAATATATACAGGTTAATCATTGTAGTAGCCACTCTCCAAAATGGCTTTCAACCCCAGCTCCTCTCCAGGCTCTCAGGCCTTCATCTACTGACTGAGAGTAATACCACTGGCTTCCTAAAATCTTCTTGATTGAACTGAGTCATGCTATCAGCTTCCCTAGTTCTCCAGCTTGCAGGTAGCCCATTATGGGATGTTTCAGCCTCCATAATTGCATAAGCCAATTCCCCCAGTGAATTCCCTTTCATCCATCCATCCATCTGTCTATTTACTTATCTATCTTCATCATCATCATCATGATCTATCTATCTTTATTTCTATCTATCCATCTTTATTTCTATCTATCCATCTATCATCTATCTTCTATTGGTTTTGTCTTCCTGGAGAACCCTGACTAATATAACGATAGATTATGGTAGCACTGAGGGTATGTTACTTCCCAGGTCGACAAAATCACAGAAATATTTCAGTTTCTGCCTTGGTATCTTGGATTAATTGCTATGAGAGAGGCCAGTTGACATGTTGTGAAGATACTCAATTAAGCCTGAGAGGGGTGCCACATGAAGAGGAAACAACTTGTAATACTAACTTGACAATCTTTTGGTGAGGTACCTTGGGGATGGATCCTCCAACTTCAAACCATCAGATGCCTGCAGCTCCAGCTGAGATCTGACGCCAACCTCATGAAAATCCTAGAATCAGAACTGTCAAACCAAACTGCTCCTGAATTCCTGAAATGGTAAAAGATAATAAGAGCAACTGTGATTATTATTTTAAGCCACACATTTTGAAATAATATGTTAACTAGAAGTAGATAATTAACACAATCATAAATTTATTATGTATTCATTAAAAATGATTTTGTTGACAATAAATGTATATTAAAATTTTCTTCAATTATTTTACATTTTCCCCACTGCCTATGATTTCAGACTTTGAAACAATTAGAACATGCTTATAAAAGAAAATAAAACAAACTAGAATAAAGTTTCCATCATCAAGAGTATAATTGAATTTTTTTGGAATCTCAAGATTACTAAAATTTTAATGTCAAGAGTTTGTTTGTTTGTTTGTTTAAGCTCACTTTATGAAGAGCAAATGAGCAGTCAGTCAACATTACCATGTGTTGACCAAACCAGTGGGAATGGTACTGTTTGATTTTTTTGTGTTACAGAAACACAAAATAAAAATAACAGCAGGAGTGACCTCTGCACTCTAAATTGAAGAAGTTCACGTTTCCATCCCCTGATGTGTTTCCTTTGCGTGTCACCCTTGCCCCTCCAATAGGACTTTGAACACACTATTGCTAGTATTTTCTTATATCAGCTCCTAAGTTTGGTGACTGTATTATTTTCTTCTAGAAACATAGTAGAAACTTACCTGAAATACAGTAGAAAATCAATAAATTTTATTGAAACAATGAGTAAATAAATGAATAAACAAAGGAAATGCTTCTTCATAAAAATATTAAAAATAAAATTAAGTCTCTATGGCAGATTGCATTTTCCTATAAAATAGCTTCAGTGATATTACATATCTCATTTGCTCTTCTATCGTTGTGCCCTGCCCCTCACAAGAGGCAGAGTCTCTTCCCCTTAGACCAGGACAGATCTTTGTGATTGCCTTGTCTAACAGATTATGGTGAATGTTATGTGAGTTCTGAAGTTGTGTCATAAAAAGAATTTATGGCATTTTTCCTTTTTTTGGAAAATTCATCCTTGGTATCCAGCCACCATACTGTGAGAAAGCTAAGGCCACGTAGAAAGATCATATATAAATGTTCTGGCCAATAGCCCCACTAAGATTTCAGAGAACAACCAGCATTAACTGCCAGATATTGGAATGAGAAAGCTTTGAAATGACACCAATCCCAGCTGTTTTATGACTGCAACTGCATGAGAAATCCTGAGAAGAAACCACTTAGTTGAGCCCAGTTAACCTCCCAAAATTACAATAATATGAGACAGGCTAAAATGATCTCATTCTCTGATATGTTTTTTGCAGATAACATTTTCCTTTCCAATAAGACTTTGAATAATTATTGCTATTATTTTGTTATATAAGCAGCTAAAGTCTGTCTTATTCTTCTATGGGGCTAACATGGCAACTGGATTATAATAAAAATTTAATAACTAATTGATGACTAAATAAGAAATGACTATATGAATAATAAAAATGAATGTTTCTTTGTATAAATACTAACAAAAAAGGTTTTTGGTAGGTTATATTTTCCAAAATATGGTTATAATAAGTTTGGGATAATTTGTTATGCAGAAATAAATAACTGGAATATCCTTCTTTTAGTCCCAATGTACAGCCTCTCTTGAATCTCTTTTTAACATTTGTATTGCTATTACTATGAGATCATTGAAGAAAAAGACAGCAAAAATCAATCCCAGAATATTGCAGTTTACTTCCTGACATTGCCACTTTTTAGTTATGAAAATTTGGACTTTATTTAACCTCTGAAAGTCATTATGTCATGATTTGAAAAACTTAAAAATATATATTAATTGAACTACTCTTTACTCCAGAATATTCTGTGTACTTCAAGACAAGGTTTATTTGACAGATAGATAGATGATAGATAGATAGATAGATAGATAGATAGATAGATAGATAGACAGACAGATAGATAGATATAGAATTATTTGCCCACATTTAAACTCAAGCTATTTGAGGAAAATATCTAGGTTTCTGGCTTCTTTTAGATGAAAATGAGTAGAATGTTGTCTTCAGTTTGGTACAGGCTTGCTACTTATGGTCTCAAAATTCATGGCATACTTTCCTATGTAGGTGACTGAGTTTATAGCCACTATTTCAAATTGTTAAAGCCGTATTAGGCATTATTTTTATTCCAATGGGTATGTTCTTTTAACAGTTGTTACAAAAAGAGTTATTTAATTATTTTTATTTTAGTTGGTTTTTCCAGATTTGGTATAAATGATCCTATTTAGCTTTGAATTAATTAATTCATTCATTTAGTCATTCATTCAGGAAATATTTTTAGAGATTTTTGTATGTATTAGACATTTGCTATGTAGTCTTCTGAGTGTTACAACATCGCTTTGTAAATATTAGTTTGCTCCCCAAACACAAAGCCATATAGTTAGGAGTTCATAGATAGGACAGAATCCTCAGGCACAGGACTGGTGTTCCTCCTAGCTTAAGACTTAGAAAGGACATTCCTGTGGTAGAAATCAGAATCAATTTAGGTCACTGCTGTCTAATAGAATATTCTGCAATGATAAAAGTATTTCAAATCTTTGTTGTTCAGTATCGTAGCTATTAGTCCCATGTGACTAGTGAAATTGAGGACATAAATATTTAATTTAATTTACTTTCAATAAACTTCAACTTAAATGTAAACAGTCACAAGTAGCCAGTGGCTACAGAATCGTACAGCACAAATCTAAGCTGTATTGACTTCTTAATGAACTAACATGGAAGCAAATCGACAATGACGTTATTGTCAATGTCAGTGTTCTTTTGGGACCTGGATAGAATGTTAGAGAGAGAACGTTGATTAAAACAGTGAATAGCATCATAGATAAAATATTAGGCATTGAGAAATTATCAGTGAAAAATGAGACAACAAAATCAACCATTCATTCATTAAAATGAGTTCTAGCCTACAGAGAGAAGAAGGGAACATTAGAGTTAAAGGGAGGCTTTAGGCATCATCTTGTTTAGCCTCACTTTCTAGGAGACAAAGTCCCAGCAAAGGCATCTTGACCAAGATCACAACTACTCAGCAGCAAAACCTGATCAGAAACACACACCTCCTGGTTCCTTACCCAGGGTTGTCACTATGAATGTTTTCTGCAGTTTGCAAGCATAATCCAGATGCCTTGACCCAACTACAATTTGCCTATTTATTCATTCATTAAAACTGTGCCCCTAACACTTTTGAATAATGTGATGCACTTTGGGCATCATATTTATTTGGAATATTTCACAAACTTCTGAAAAAGAAGAAGAAGAAGAAATAGTATAGGGTTCTGTATACATATAGGCCAATTTTTTCATTAGAAAAATATTCTGAGCAAACTGGAGAGATGGACAGTTCTGTCATATGATAACTTCTCAGGTAAAGGCAGCTTTCAAAACACACTTCAACAGAATCCCGGTGATACTGTTACCGTGGAGACAGAAGCATCGGGAGGTTTTAAAAGCAGGGTGCAGGAAGAGACACTCAGAGCCCTCTTTTACATGCAGAGCCATCATTTGACTCTATTTTATGCAGCACTGCTGCAATTTTTGATCAAACAAGTACAAAAAGGTAACAGTCTTGACAACAGCTCTGTACAAAAGGTCAGGCAGCTTTTGACTGTGTTTCTTGTCTTTTCCCTTTTCTTAATCAGAGGCTGTGAAAGAGCTGGAGTGGTTTCCCTTTGCATAGCTACAGAAAATACTTTAGGCATTAAGTGTGTGTTGATTTTAATCAAATACGATATTGATATCTTCCAGCTTTAACCCGTTAACCCTATTACAGCAGTGAATGGCATAATATTACGGACCTCCTTTTATGTTTGTCAGCATACATCAAAGATCTTGGGAAAGAGGGATGTTAGATAATGAATCCTTTTGTGTTATTAATGAACTTTATATGTAAACACTAATTCATTCAAGAATTTTTTTAATCCAGAGAGAGCTCCATGAGAGAAATTATGAAGAACACATAAAAGTATTCTACATTGTTCTGAATTTTTTAAAGTATCAATTTTTAATTTTGACTACTCCAGATTAGAAGTCTTCATCGAAAGAAATGACACTGACATACTCATCTTTGTATACCCTGGGCCTGGCACAATGTCTGGCACAGAGAAGTCACCTCATGAATGTTTCTCAAATGACAGATTACTTAGATACAGATGCACTTCCTATTTTCAGGGCATTTACTTTCTTGGTAAGGAATATCTAAATCTGGTTGTATCCTGCTTGATGATTTGTAAAAGCACTGCCTCTGAATGATTTATGAGTGAATGAATGAACTAGAAATCATCATTCAACTTATTCACGGATCCATTCATTTAGTGCCTAAACTCCAAAGCTGTATGTTCAACAAACTCCTTTTGGTTTCCCTGATGTTGAACCAAAGTTAGTAGTGTAAAATCTCCCCTGTAGAAAAAATGCAAATAAATGGTAGCTCTAAGAGAAGAAATGAGACAAAGCCTAGGTTTTGAAATGCACAGCACCAAGAAAATGGCACTCGACTCATTTTTATTTCTTGCCCTGAGAAAGAATAGGCAGCTTAAATTTAGGTCTCCCAGGGCAACAGGGATATGAATTAACTCAGTACCACCTACTCAAGCTAATCTCTGCCATCAGAATCACGATGGCTTCTATGTAAGGATAATGCAATAAAAAGAAGATGGCTCTGGGGCACAGTTATAATCTGCTTTATAATTTGAAAACCTCCATTTAAAAAGTAAATTTAACTCCTACTTGACTGTTGCAGTAGGTGCCATCTTCTAGGGACAGAGAAAAAGCCGCATCTTTGCATAGTAATATTTCTTAGTCTTGATCCTAATAGAAACACATCTGTAAAGGAGAAGCTATTTTGGTTACCAAACATCTTTAAACTTGTCATCTCATTTGTTGGCACACTTCATAAATTTTGAAATTATAAAGACTATGTGCTGTTGGCATTTTGAGTCCAGATTAATTAGTTCCTTTTGAAAGTCTTTTAAAATTTCATGTCAGGCAGTGTGACTTTTGGTTATGGAAGACATTGTCTTGAATCAAACAAAATGCACTTTTGTATAATTTTTTATTTAATTGAAGTACATCTCATCATAGTACTTCAATTAAAACACTAATGATGAACATTTTATAAATTTATTTATATGTACTTATTTATAATACATTTTTATTATCTGTTTATAACTATTGAAATAATTATATAGACACTGATGTTTACATTTATTTTTAGTTCACTGGAAAGACAGGAATAAATTTTCCTGTAAGTAATACATTATAAATAAAACCAGAGTTTAAACTGCCCATTACCCACTTTGACTTTCTCCTCTGCCCCTTGCTTCCTGTAGATCTGAAAGAATGTGGATATGTAAATATTTACAAAAATATAAATGATATATAGCGTTTTGTTTTGTGTTTTGGTAGAGTGTATTTTATATAAATTTTTTTTACCAATATAGACTTAGTTGTGTGACTATACTATATCTTAGACATTTTCATACCCATATCCATTCATGGGACTATATGTTTTTCCAGTTTTTGACTATTACACAGTGTGCATGCGTTCAGAATGTCTTAAGCTATGTGATCTAGTGTATTTTGTTGATACATTCTAAGGTAGCACATCTTTCTTTCTCTCCTTTCTTCTTTTCTCAAACAATTTCTACCAACAAGGGCTCTTGGCCGAACACAACAGAAGTTGACTCTGGCTGTGTTATAGGACTTTCTCCATAGTTCGGCTAAAAATGGGGTCCTTGTCATACGACCATGAAAGATTAGGCTTGCAGAAACTTTGAAGGGTAACGCCATGCGTGGTGGCTCACGCCTGTAATCCCAGCACTTTGGGAGGCCAAGGCCGGTGGATCACGAGGTCAGGAGATCAGGATCATCCTGGCTAACACGGTGAAACCCCGTCTCTACTAAAAATACAAAAAAAAAAAAAAAAAAATTAGCCGGACGTGGTGGCAGGCGCCTGTAGTCCCAGCTACTCAGGAGGCTGAGGTAGGAGAATGGCGTGAACCCGGGAGGCGGAGCTTGCAGTGAGCTGAGATCGAGCCACTGCACTCCAGCCTGGGCGACAGAGAGAGACTCCATCTCAAAAAAAAAAAAAAAAAAAAAAAACTTTGAAGGGTGAGAAAAATTGAATTTATTGGGCTAAAAGGAAAAAACAAAAAGCGGGGAGGTGGGGGGAACAGACTCTCAGCAAAGTGAGAGTCCTACCAGCAGGCTTCCTGCCTCACAGACTGAATCCCAGGTACCACCCTGGATAAGGAGAGGCCAGGCTTCTACCCTCTGCAAATGGCGCGAATTTCCAAGGCTCTACCCCAGTACACACCCCCCACTGTGTGCAGGCCAGTGGGAGGATTTGCGAAGAAGCTGTTTTTATTTGGCTGTCTCAGCTGTTTGAGCAGAAGTATGTTTTTTAAACAGGTTGCTGGAAGGTTCACAAAGTAATTGGAAGGCCTAGCATCTTCCTACTGCACCAAGTCTGGGCTTCCAAGAACAGTGACCCAAACTGCACTGCAGAACTGGCCTTACAATGAACCCACAACCCGTTGTGCTTCCCCAATGAGTGTTACAGGGAATCCTACTGTTAACTGCCTCTTCTCACGAAACTTGAGCTTGCATCCCTTGCATCCACTGTGTATCTTCCAGGCTACCACAATTTCCACTGAAAGAAAGAGGCCTCTGCTGTCACCTGAGCCTAGCGAGGGAAGGAGGAGACAGAGAAAGAGAAAGGCAGAGAGACAGAAAGATTACAAGAGAGAGACATGGAATCTATAGCCTTTTATTTTATGTTTCAGTAGAGTGTGTTTTACATAAACATGTGTTTTTTACAAATATAGACTTAGTTGTCTGACTATACTATATTTTACACATTTTCATATCCATAGCCATTTATGTAGTTTTAATATATATCTCCTTAATTTGACATAAAACTTCTTGAGCAAAAGGAAAAAAAGTCTACTATTTAATATATCTCTGTTGCTTCACATTTAACAACTATTTAATGAATATTTGCTAATTTATTTTCTAATCAAAGCAATCATTAAAGTATTTAATATCACAATTCACGGAAAAAAATTACCCAAAGAAAAATATGCTAAAACCTCTCTATTTTTATTAGATTATGGGACTCTGGTTAAACACAAAGCAGAATTTATCTTTTCACTAACATGGAAAAGTATTCTGCATAGGTATTAATTTAAGGGACTTCTAGATAGTTATATTTTAAATTAACTAAGAAAGAAGTTGATGTGTCTCTATTACATGTTACTTGTATTTGCTCTGTGGTCATCATAAGTACTTCTTTTCACCTATTATTTAGTAAGAATCCTTAATATTTACAATACTTATCTTTTAACTCATTAAAGTGCCAGTTAAAATCATCTTCCCAGAGCATATTGTCATGCAGGTTGCTGTTAAAATAGAAGAGTTTACATCATCTAAATGCTTTACCCACAATCTTCTCCCAGCGTACCAGTCTCAATAGGAGATGCCAAATGGACACTTCACGAAACCCTATGTACTTCAATTGTAGAATATATTTGACATGAAAGCTATACCAGTCAGTATGTGGATGGGGAGGAGGTAAGACAGTGGCTGACACAGAAAATTTAAAAGAAAATTCACAAGTAGGACTGGCTATTTAAATTTATACTTCTAATTGAAGACACAGCTACCACAACAATTTGAAATATTGGTAATATCCTAATCTTACATCTTTAAGGGAGGAAACTTATTATTATTATTTAATGTTATACAATTTTATTTATCTTAGAAAATATTGTAATTTAAATAAGGATGAAAATGTGTTCCATGACCAAGAAGAGAAATGTACCCTCTCAGCCAATGTAATTCATTCAATAGCCAGGAGAATTGGAGTGCAGGTAACTGCAAGTCTATCTTAAAGCTCTCTTTCCTAAATAGACACTATGACATTGAGGGACTATTAAAAGTCTATTGAGGGACTATTAAACGTCTAATTTTCACACATAGGTTTTTTTCCCTCCAATAGTGTCAGTCTTAGGTCTGTTCTCAAGACATCACCATTTTAGAATCCAAAAATAGTGAATCCATGCCAAAAAATATAACAAATCACTGTTAGTTGTTTTAAAGATACAATTCTGCGTCAGTGATTATGAGTGTTTGTATGGTGGTTTTTACAGTTGTTGTTATCATTTAAAAATTGTCCTTGGGAAAACAGCTTCTAAAAATGCACCATTTCATTTTCATAGAAAAGTGAAGGGACAGAATACACAATCACCTTTACAGCAAGCCATCATTGTTAGAACAGAGGAACACAGACTAACAGTATAAATCAAAGAGCAGTAATGGAACAGGAATGCACAGCTTGGCAGGTTAAAGCAATTAGTAAACAACAAAGGTGGCTTTGAGGGTATGAAGCTCACTTTTTGGCTTAGCTGGGTAATATCAGCTGTGGAGTCTTAGTCACGCTTTCAGCTAGAGATATTTATAGGCTGTAACACTGGCTGTAATGCTGAGTATTCTCTTTTGTGGTATACTTGCATTTTCTCTGACTAAAAAGTGGAAAAGTCTTCAAATGAAGATAAACCATGGGCATGGCTATCTTTCAGTAATTTGAGAGCAACCATGCTGTCTTACACATTGATATGCTGCCAATGTCTATTCCAGTCTCTGGATAGAGTGAATCCTGAAAAAAAAGTTTACTAAACAAATGTATAAATAAAACATAAATAAACAAATGAACAAATGGCCATGTGGGACAGAAAACCAGTCTGGTACTACCATTCAGGAATTTAATAACAGGCTTTCAACATTTTTAGGTCTGTCCATTGGGTTATATCATCACCATTCATTCACCTACTGATTTCATTTCAATAACCATTCCTTGAGTGCCTGCTGTTTGTCAGACATGCCAGATACTATCCTATATACCAGACAAATGGATAAAAATTAATAAAATAGTCCTTAATGAGTTTTTAAAGAATGTTTAAACTATGATACAATATGATAATGACACAGGATTTTTCTCAGCCACTTTGCCAGAGTGGAGACATCCAGCTGGTGATGCCCCTGCCCAAGCCTTGCTTGGGCCCAAGCTTGCTGCAGGATATGCCCCATCTACTTGGCCCACTGGGCTATGTCTGTCTTGCACTGTGGTGCAGATCCCATGGCCACTGTGACTGCACACTCAGCCCCTGCCAGGAAGGGGTGTATGAGCAAGCAAGTCAGGGTCCAGTCCGCCATTCCAAGTGCTGCTGCTCCTTCCCATCATGTGGGGCAGCTGCCTTCCATCTGCAGAGGGTGGAGGGCCACAGTGTTACAGCCTTCTCTGTACCTGCATTTGGTGAGTCCCTAGTTCTTGTCCCAAGTCCAAGAAGAATGAGGTTATGCAACAGTTGAAGGGTGAGGAGGGCAGAGAATAATTTTATTAAGCTACAAAACAGTTCTCAGTGGAAAGGGGATGTGAGGGTGTTTCCCTACCGGAAGTTGGGTGGTCTTTCTCTCAGTGTGGCTGAATCAGGGACTCTTATGGGCTCAAAATGGGGAGTGTGTGCTGATTGGTGTGTGAGTATGCAAAAAAAGGCTAAAGCTAAGACACACTCAAAGGTGAGCATGACAGTGTAAAAAATCAATTAGGGAAGTGTAGACATATGTAAAATAGGTGAAGGGTGTGGATCAATCAGAGGAAATCGTGCCAAAAGGGAAGAGAGGTTCTTAATTTGGCCCATGGTTTTACCAAGGACTTGTAGTTAGGCTTTAAACTGTCTTCAGCTTGAAAGTCAGGATTCACTGTGGAACCGCCCCTGTCTGCCTAGGATTTGTCTGCCTCTTGCCACTATCATTCTCCCCTCTGAAGAGGTACATCTAACTGCTGTTAGGATAGGGATGATGACCCATCTTGAACTGCTTCCTGCTGACAGGGGATGCTGTTTTGGGAAACGGCAGTCAGATCTCTCTCAGAGGCCTATCTAGGGGTCCCCGGTAAAAGAAAGCCATCATCTGAAGCTCCGGTTGCATGACTGTTTGGAGTGTGATGGACTGGAGGCAAGAAGAAAGAAACCAGGCTATTAGAAGACACATGTCAAAATGAAACAAGGGGGTAAGGACAGCTTAAAAATCCCGAGGCTGCTGACATGCCCAGATAACTGGTAGCTATAAGTATGCCTGCTAAGATTTGGGTGCATGGAGTTTGGCTTTGCTTAGCTCCTTTGGTCTTATTTTCCCAAAAAGAAACCTCTGGGTTATGGGCATCCTATTTACCCCATTATCGGGCAGGATTTTTAGCATAATTGCCCAGAACTAGAATATTGATCCCAATGTTTACAATAATGCCATGACAAAATTTAGCAGAAATTTCTAAGGGTGGTCCAGTGGATGGAACAACAAAATCAATCATATGAAGAAAGTTTGGCAGAGAAAGTTTTCTGTTTTTGTTTGCTTTTTTAGGTATGTAAGTGTCCTGTATTTGACATGTTTGTCCTAAATATTAAGAGTATTCTGCCTAGAGAACGCAGAATCTGCAATGCCATGGAATACTCAGAGAACAAAATGCTAGTAACAAATAAGTTCAGAGAACAATGAAAAATTTGAAATATTTACGAAATATCCATTTCTCTCATAAATATCCCCACCCCCACGGGACACACATGAAGAATTAGTGCAGGACCAATGAACAATATGATAGGGATAAATAGCAAAAGCTAATGGATAGAGCTAAGCTGGAGGAGCTTATTAGATTGCTAAAGGTTTTAAAGCTCATAAAGGTGTGCTTACATGGTAGATGACCTCATCTGAGTTAAATAGAAAATGTAGCTTACTGAGTACCCCGCTAGATCATTCTGTTTACAGTTTGGTTTCTTTATCTATTAGCACCTGGTTTCACCCAAGTAGAACCATTTTTTAACCTGTGTGAGAAGGGAGTTTCAAAGTTTCTTTAAACCACAGAGAAGCATTCATTTTTGCTACAAGGAAGACTTTGTATTCTTTCATTTCCAGTGGTGACAAAAACCTCATGTGATAGAATGTGTTGCCTGAGATGCCAATGTCACAAATTCCGCCATCTACCTTTGTCCTGTTGTGACTTTTCTTAAGAGACAAATTTGGAAGTAAAACTCCAGTTTTTACATCTTTTCTATTGGCTAGTGAATCCACATGGAAATGAAGAATTAACAGCCCTGAACCAACCAACTCAAAATCTCAGTGTACCGACTTCAAAAAGAATGCAGACTCAGAACTGACATTGTCTAATGTGCATGAAAAAAAAATGCAGCAGTGAGAAAGACAGCACAGTGTCCTTTCTGGCCCTGACCTGTGGAATCTTTTGGTGGTGTACACTCAACCAATTCCACTATTACACACCTGGTTTCAAGGCTTCTGTTCCCCTTGGAGAATCCGCTCATTAGTTACTACCAAATCCTCTCATCCAATCAGCACTGTGTTGCCTTAGAAGCTTGGAATCTACTGTTCAATTGTGAAAACACCAGACTGTGCACACCAATAGATGGTGCAAATGCCCAACACACTTGTCTGTCTTCTTTCTCTTTATTTTATTTTATCTTATCAAAAATGTTTTAAAATGCAGATTTAAAAACTCTACTGGGCCAATATTCAGAGGGCCATATGTTTCCCCTCTGCCTAGTCTCTAGTGCTGGGTTCGTGCTATTTTTACGTATTTTATGGAAAAGAATAGAAGAATGATAATGGGTGTTGACATCTATACCATGGTGATTTATAAACTGACCCATTTACATTTTGAAAAATAAAGATCCAGCCACACACAGTGGCTCACACCTGTAATCCCAGCACTTTGGGAGGCCAAGGCGGGTGGATCACCTGAGGTCAGGAGTTCGAGACCACCCTGACCAACATGGAAAAACCCCATCTCTACTAAAAATACAAAATTAGCCAGGCATGGTGGTGCATGCCTGTAATCTCAGCTACTCAGGAGGATGAGGCAGGAGAATCACTTGAACCTGGGAGGCAGAGGTTGCAGTGAGCCAAGATCTTGCCACTGTACTACAGCCTGGACAAGAGCAAAACTCCGTCTCAAAAAAAAAAAAAAAAAAAAAAGAAATTAAATAAATAAATAAAATAAAAAATAAAGATCCACCTGTACTGACAAAACGTCAGTAAGAACTTTTTAAGATAAAATTTCATTCCATTAATGTGTGTTCTTTATGCATTTTTACAGATTCCATTTAGGGCTTTAAAAATAACATAATTTTAACAAAGCATTCTTACAAACAACAGACATGTTTAAGAGCATATTTCTACTATCTAGTCAATCAATCCCAATCTGTCTGTAAAGTACATTTTTATATTCTTTGCTCTTTTAGGTGTGCAACTTTCAGGAGACACATGAGAATCAGAAACAAACAAACAAAATAAAGAGTAAAACCAACCTTCCAATGTTTAGGAAGCAAGTTAATGCTAAAATGGAAATTTCTTAGCACACTTTCAGCATAACAATTTGGGGCATTCAGTCAAAGAAGAATACATTGTTTTTCCCTTCCCTCCTAATCTTAACTGAATAAATTTGGCGTGTGTATGTTCTTTTAGATGTTTTCATTGTCATGTTTGTTTTCAAAATAGAACAGAAATTATAGAAGTACTGTATTTTTTCATATAGTTATTCAGAGTAATTTTGTGGCCTAGTCAAGATTTGTGAAGAGTTGCTCCTCCCCTATCCCTGATTCAACTGCTTTCAAGCTTTTGTTCTGCTAGTGTTGATTCCTGCTTAAACTGGTAGTTATCCAGTGCCCTAATATTTTCTCCTTAGAAATTAAAAAGCTGTCTTCAGGAAAAAGCTGATAACCTCATTTTTTCTAAGGGTATAAACAACCAACAGTTCAAAGCACTATCCTATCAAGGGATATTTAAATTTTAATGATCACAAAAACTCATTCAGACTGAATATTTCTAATGTTGCATTCACAGGCACTGTCAAATTGGTAAAGGGAATTTGCATAGAGACTCTTGGGATGTGACTCATTTCAACTCTCCTGTGTGCTATTCTGTCTTCTAGGAAAGACAGTTCTGAGCATGTGTGTGGCCAGCACTATTAGTGCTAGGCATTCAATCTTAATGTTTTCTACATAAGTGTCACCTTAATCTTTTGGAAATAACTAGTGCTATGGATTGAATTGTGTCTCCCTGCCACACACACCCCCAATCCTTCCACCCCCAACACACACAAAAGACATGTTTAAATTTCACCTCTAGTAACTCAGAATGTAACATTATTTTGAAATGGGGCCATTGCTGATAAAATTGGTTAAGGGAAGGTCATACTGGAGTAGGGTGGATCCTTCATCCAATATGACTGATATCCTTATAAGAAGAGGGAATGCGACGTGAAGACACACAGGAAGGACACCCTGTGAAGACTGAGGTGGATTGGAGTAATGTATCTACAAGCCAAGGAGCCCCTGAGTATAACCGAAACTGACAGAGGCAAGGAAAGATCATCTCCCAGAGGCTTCAGAGGAATCATAAACCTGACAATGACTGGAATTTTAGACTTCTGGCTTCCAGAAATGTGAAACAATACATTTATTTTATTTCAAACCACCCAGTTTATGCTACTGTGTTACGATAGTCCTAGGAAACTAATGTAGCTCTTGATTTCACCTTTCTATTTCCCTTCCCTTCCCCTTCCCCTTCTCCTTCCCCTTCCCTTCTTCCCCTTCCCTCCCCTCCCTTCCCTTCCTCTCTCTATCTCTCTCTGTTTTCTTTCTTCCTTCTTTTTTTCTTCCTTTCATTTATTTATTTTTGTCATCATTTATTTGTCTGAGTTTCTCATTGACAAAGACAAGGAAGGAGAACATGAGAAAACAAATCAAATCTCTTTTTCCTTCTACATTAAAACATCAGGAAACTTGCTCTAAGTCATGTCTCCTCTGTGGACTTCAACTGTCTGTAAAAATATTTCAAAAATTTTAAGTTTTAATTTTTATATATTTAAAAATGGTAGAATTATTTATTCAAATGACACAGTGCTCTCAGCATGTAAAATAGATTTTGTAATTACCTTGCTGGTTTGAAGTAGAGAAGGGACCTCAAACCATACAATGTAGCCTCCTGTTATCATCATTTTCTATCCTAGGTGATACCAAAAGTACCATCATGGTTTCAGCTATTTTATTTGCATAACGTTTCCAATAATTGATTGGTATATAGTTAAAAACATCTAAAGGAAACTCTCTGAAGAAAGAGAAAAATAAAATATTGGTTATTACTATTTGGTGAACATACCCAATTATGAGCACTGTAAGTGTATGGCTATTTCAACTATGTAACTT
Source organism: Homo sapiens (assembly GCF_000001405.40). Lineage (NCBI taxonomy): Eukaryota > Metazoa > Chordata > Mammalia > Primates > Hominidae > Homo > Homo sapiens. Next base: position 39,685,071 of record NC_000011.10, read on the forward strand.
GACAAGGAGGAAGAAAAAAAAAGAATCCCTGTTTTTTGTTTAAGTACTCGGCCATTGGGAATAATAGCCAATCTTTCTGCTGAGGAACCAAGAGGGATCATCAAGTCATAGATTTAATACTAAACAGAGAGTCTTTGTTTGTTGTGAGACAGGGTCTTGCTCTGTCACAAAGTTGGAGTGCAGTGGTATGATTACGGCTCACTGCAGCCTCGACCTCCCAGACTCAAGCAATGGTCCCACTTCAGCCTCCCAAGTAGCTGGGACCACAAGTGCATGCCACCATGCATGGCTAAATTTTTTTTTGGCTTTTTTGTAGAGACAGGGTCTTGCTATGTTGCCCAGGCTGGTCTTGAAGTCCTGGGCTAAAGCAATTCTCCCACATTGGCCTCCCAAAGTGTGGGCATTACAGGCGTGAGCCACTATGCCCAACCCGTATATGTTGAATGCTATGAGTATCAGTGCATTACAGGTTCTCATTGAATCCTCTGAGATAGACATTATTCTCCCATTTGACAGAAGTAGTCACTGAGGCTGTGACTCAGATTCGATAGTATGTTCACAATCACCTAGAGAGGCAGAGAGCCAAGATCCAAAGCCAAGTCTGAAGTTCACACATTGCTATACACTGCTCCCACAATGTATGAAAAGTAGAAATCTGATTTTGTGTCATTTACTTCCATCCCTCTTTTATTCTACTTTTTGTCAGGGTAAGTTCTCTGATAACTATGTTGGGTGAGATAAACCCAGGCAAGAGAGTAATTATGGCTCTTCTGAGACTTTTGCGGGAAACACCAATAGTGGGTCAGAGATATAAACATTACAACAGGTGGGAGATACAGCCACCTGTGTAGTTAGGTTTGGCTGAAGAGATAATCAACTGTACTTTCTCCTTGCTGCAAAAAGAGTTTTGTTTTCACCTCTAATCTATAAGGACAGGCATCATATTCAGAGCATATTACCAATGTGGTGCTAAAACAGCAAGCATTTCCTTCCCTCATTCCATACTTTCACATTCTATATAAAGTTATGCTCACATGGCACTGAAATAGACATTTTTATGTTCTACAAAAATACCACTGCAACATGGCAAAAATGCCATAACTTGAAATAGATTATCTTCTAAGATTAACTTTGCCGAAAGAACAAATTTTTCCCCCACATTCATTCTGTAATCTTTGAGTCCTAGAAAAACTGACACTAATTCCCCACTCCTCTATACATTCTGAGGTACCCTTACTTTGACTGTCTTTTTTAGGAAAGATGTTGACCATGTGAATTCAAAGCAAACCACTTTCTAGCTATGTAAATTTAGAGTATTTACTTAAACTCTCTAAGTCTCAATTACACACCTGTAAAATAGGTATAATAATTTTAAGTGACAGGATCATTGAAAGGACAAAATGCTTCATGTAGTGCTTAGATTTTAAAAAGCACTTATTGCATACTGGGTCTTACTGCTACTTCAATTAAACATTAATTGAACATCTACTATACATGTGCATTGTGCTAGATACTTGGGAACAAAGATTATTAAGGTATTCCCAAGCCACAAAGACCTAACATTCTAATGGGAAGGATAAACAGATAAACAGCACACCATAATGCATTGTGATAATTCTCCAAAAATATCACTCCTTTGGGATCTCAGAGGAAGAAGTGACTGACTGCTAAGAAGGACAGGGCATGAGGTCTGAGAGTGAGGTGGAGAAGGATTAGACATGGATTTATAGACAAAGTAAGAGCTGCAGAGAGTCTTGAAGATCTCAAGAACTGTGTTTTCTGAAAGGAGAAAAGGGGATGAGACACAGAAGTTGAAACATACAGTATTTGGGAATAGTGGTGAATAAGCCTGCAAAGCAGTTTAAAATGATCATAGACCTTTTATGGCATTCTTTAGGCCTAGCCTTGGTTTATTCACATAAGTTTTTAAGGAAAGAAAGAAAATGATAAGGCATAGATAGAATAAGTATTAAACTTGTTGAAAAAGCAAAACAGCCTGTCCAACATGGTGAAACTCCGACTCTACTAAAAATACAACAAAAATAGCTCGGTGTGGTGGCACACACCTGTAGTCCCAGCTACTAGGGAGGCTGAGGCAGGAGAATCGCTTGAAGCCAGGAGGCGGAGGTTGAAGTGAGCCAAGGTCACGCCACTGCACTCCAGCATGGGTGATAGAGCGAGACTCCGTCTCAAAAAAAAAAAAAAAAAAAAAAAAAAAAAGGAAAAACAGGCTTACCAGTTTAATGACCTATGTTAGTCTAGCAGTTTTAGGGTCTAGCAATCACCAGAAATAGTGAGCAGTTTGGATTCTAATACATATGTCAAGTGTTCAATTTTGAATGAGCATGGTATAATTTTAAGTCATAGGTAATTAAGCCATGTCCTCAGCCTATGGAAATAGATAACAATGAACATTTCAAGGAGATTTTTTGCCATTTTCAGAGACCAAAGATACACTGATGATGATTATCAAGTGAGTTGTCACATTTCAAAATTACTCACGGAAATGTTCCTAATTACCTGTCTTAGTGTGCTGCAAATAACAGCCTCTAAATTAGTAATGCTTAGCATGGTTTAACGAATAGCCTTGACATCTAATTCTCTTATAAGATGTGGATGCAACAGAAAAAAAAGAGATTTTTCATCTTAAAACAATGGCAGTCCACAGCCTTAGCACTTTGTTCACAAAGGACACACTCTTCTACCTAAGCTTCTTACATGATAAAATGATAAAATTGACTCCTCTGTGAAAGTCTATTCTAAAATGTCTTTGGAAACAACTAACATATTGATGTTCCTCATAATTCAGATTTGAGGTTTTGGCTGCAGAAAAGTTAGAAAAGAAAGTTTGCCCTGTCATTCAATTAAGAATTGCCATTCCTTTATTTTATAAGTTGGCAGATTAGCATCCTGAATATCCAACCTTGAAATAGGAAAGCAAAATGAGTAGGCCTTAGAGAGAAAGGATTTTCAGTTTAGATTACTTTTCCAGGCAAATTGTGATATAGCAGAAGAGAACAGCCTTTCTGGTCTTCTAAGCAGGGACAGTCTCACTTTCAACATTTTCTCTGTGACCTGAGCCCTGTCACCTGTCTTTTCAGACTTTAGTTTTCAAATCTCTAAAATAGGTGACAATATTATCTAGCTACCTATCTTATTATCAGAATTAAATAACATTAGCCAGGTGTGGTGGCTCACACCTGTAATCCCAGTGACCTGTCAGGCTGAGGAGGGAGAATTGCTTGAGGTCAGAAGTTCAAGATTAGCCTGGGAAACAAAGTGAGACTCCATCACTACAAAAAATTTTTAAAAATTAGTCACGCATGGTGGATCTCACCTGTGGTCCCAGCAAGGCTGAGGTGGGAAAATCACTTGAGTCTAAGAGTTCAAGGCTAAAGTAAGTCATGATTGTGCCACTGCATTCCAGCCTGGGAGACAGAGGGAGGAAAAAAACCAAAAAGAAACCCCCTAAATAAAAAACAAACACCAAAATAACACAGAGAATTAAATAACATTATATGAAATAACCATACATTTTCAAGTGCTGTAATATTACTATCTCATAATTAGGTAAAAAAAATCACCAGTCATGGCTTTATATTTGTCTCATGTCTCTTCCTCAATTTCTTCTACTAATGTATATTTATTGTATTATAATACATTATATCTACTATGTTATATATGTTATATTATATATAATACATTATATCTAGTATGTTAATATGTTATATTATACATAAAATATATTCTACCTATATTAACCATAATGTATAATATATATAATATATTGTAATATATGTTATATATTATACTAACTACATCTATTATAATATTGCACACATATACACACACACACATAGACATACTTTAAAAATCCTTTAATCAAGCATTTAATTCTAATCATGATTCTTTTACTACTTGTCTCACCTCAGGAGAAAAAAACACAGACATACACACATAGACACACAACAAATTTAATTTTTCCAAATGTCATTTTATCATTTAAAAATATGAGATTTTGATTAAATATTTTCTAAGATTGTTCAATGCACTAGCTTGTTTTGATTATAATTTGACCACCATCCCTGAACCTATTTTTGTCCAAATACCTAAGAATGTATTTAATTAGCAATATGGAGAAGAAAAAAATAAGATAAATATAAAGGAGAAGCTCTGAAGAAATGGCTACAGAAAGAGAGTTAGAATCCAAATTTCAAAAAAGAATGAAGCTGCAAAAGACAAACTGTTCTTGGTCTCTCCTTCATCAAGTATTTCATCAGACCTCCCTATAATTGCATTAAATAGACTATGCTTGCTTACAGCTGAATCAAGCTAATCACAAATAAACAAGCACTTTCAGGAGGTTGCTCAAAATATGAACCTATTGCTTACAGTAAAAAAAGGCATCAAATTACTGAGAATTTAGATTGCACAGCTAGAATATTTGCAAATTGTATTTATTATTTTATTTTTCACTGTCACAATTCCCAGTTATTTAAGTTGTGCAAACTTAAATATAGGAGCTGTCATGAAAATTAGGTGCTGCAATAAGTAAAACTAAAAACACAAAATTTTAAAACTCCCTGGAAGACACATTTTTGGTGGAAGAATCAATATCTAGCTTATGATTCTTCTTTCCACTGTTTATTGTGATATTTGTCAGTGGGACTACATAGAAGACTACTAACAGAGACATAGCAACTCGAAGCACTGAGTTTTGCCAACCCTAAAATTTAAAGAGTGCTGGGTATAATATCGTGATGTTACTACCAAGAGCCCCTGAATTAATATCAGCTGACTAATGATTCTGTGCTCCAAACCTGTATGACAAATATGGTCAACCTTGTCGGCATTTACTTTGCAATGGCAGGGATCATTTAGGGAGTTGGTTTTGTGCATTGGCAAGTACCATGTTTGTTTATTTTTTAAATTTTTTTCAGTAGCTTTAGGGGTACAGTTGGTTTTTGGTTACATGGATAAATTGTACAGTGGTGAAGTTTGGGATTTTAGTGCATCTGTTACCTGAGCAGTGTACATTGTACCCAATAGTTTTATTCCTCACCTCCCTCCCATCCTTCCCCTTTCTGAGTCTCCAAGTGTTCATTGTAATACTTTGTATGCCTTTGTGTATCCATAGCTCAGCCCCCACATACAGGTGTGAACAACATATTATGTATTTTTATCATCAGAATTAACTCCTTTCTTTACTCTTAACATAGATCTTGAAGCTAAGGCTATTGCTGAGTTTTACATATCTAAAATCCCTTGTAACGTGAGAGGAAGAAAAATACAAGTTTGTATAATTTCTTCTGTCTTCTTCTCCAAGACAATATTATGGAAAACAGAAAAGACTCCTAGAGCAGCAATTTGCAGTAGACCATGGAAAGCTACTGGGTGTGTTCAGGATCTATTGTGCTATGGCAAGAACATATTGAGAGCATTATTTATATATGTATTAAATTTCAAGGTTATATGTTATTTCGAATATATTTTAGACTGTAGATATTATATTAGTGTAATCATATAGTTGACCCTTGAATGTTTGAACTGCACTGGTCTACCTATATGTGGATTTTTTTCAATAAATATATTAGAAAGTTTTTGGAGACTTGTAACAATTTGAAAAAACTTGCAGATAAACCATGTAGCCTAGAAATATTTTTTAAAATAAAAAAGGTATGTCATGAATGCATAAAATAATGTGGCTATTATTTTATCACTTACTACCATAAAATATATACAAATCTATTATAAAAAGTTAAAATTGATCAAAACTTATGCACACATGGCACTATTTTTAGTTGAGAGAAATGTAAACAATGTAAAGATGCAGCATTAAATCATAACTGTATAAAATTAACTGTAGTACATACTGTATTATTGTAATTGTTTTGTAGCCACCCCTTTTGCTATTGCAGTGAGCTCAAGTGTTGGGAGTAGCCACTTAAAACACCATGTGATCCTAATTATCTCCATATGAACAGTTCATCTCTCCAGGAAATTACATATTTCAGTAAAGAATGATCTCTCATGATTCTCACATATTTTTTATTGCCTTTAATACAATACTGTAAACGTTGAATAACACCAGAGATTTTATACAAAGTTGCCACTAGTGATGCTGGGAGTGCTCTCCAGAAGCAGAGAAAAGTCATGACATTACAAGAAAAAGTTGAATTGCTTGATATGTACCATAGATTGAGGTCGGCAGCTGTTGGAGACATAAGCTCCAACTGGAAGTTGGAGCTCTAAATGAGGGTTGCCTGACATTTCAAAACTAATTACTCCAGTGTAAGGACCACTGTAAAGAAAGGAAATTTCTGAAGCTGTTGCTACAGTCACACCAGCAGGTGGAAAAACCTTGTACATTTGCAAAATACCTTTTACCTCATATTAAAAATGCAGTTTTTATGTGGATGTAGGATTTCTATAAGAAAAGCATACACATAAACTCTAATATGATTCGAGAAAAAGTGAAGTCATTATAGGACAACTTAAAATATAAGGAAGGTGAAAGATCTAAAGATGGAGAATTTAATGCCAGCAAAGGATGGTTTGATAATTTTAGATAGTGGTTTGGCTTAAAAAATATCAAGATAACAGAAGAAACAGTTTCTGCGACCCAAGAGGCAGCAGATGAGTTCCTATATGCCATTAAGAAAATCATTGAGGAGAAAGAATATCTTCATGAACAAACTGTTAATGCAAACAAAAGTGCCCTATTCTGGGGAGAAAAAAAGCCACAAAATATATTTATTAGTAAAGAAGAAACATGAGCAACAGATTTTAAGGCAGAGAGAAATAGCCTAACTCTACTATTTTGTGCAAATGCAATGCAGTGAGAATTATGATCATTACTGCCCTTATGTGTAAAGCTGCTACCCTCTGAGCCTCAGAGGGAAAAGATAAATACTAGCTGCCAGTCTTTCAGTTATACAACAAGAAGGCCTGGACAATGCCAGAGAACCCTTTTTCTAAATTTATTCCATTTATGCCTTGTCCCTGAAGTCAGAACATGCCCCTGGCTATCAAGACCCTTTTGAGTTCAATGTCAAAGGCAATGAAGTGGTTTACTTGTCCTAAAACACATCTTGAATTCAGCCTCTAGAACAAGAGGTCATTAGGACTTTTAAGTCCCATTAAACACAGTGTCTATGAAAGGGATTGTGAATGCTATGAAAGAGAATCCCAATGAAGAGAACATGATGAAAGTCTGGAACGATGATACCATTGAAGATGTCATCATTGCTATAGAAAAGCCATGAAATTTATCAAGCTTCAAACAATACATTCCTGCTGGAGAAAACCGTGTTCAGATGCACATGACTTCACAGAATTTACAACAGAGCCAGTCAAAGAAATAATAAAAAGATTGTGGATATGGCAAAAAGGTGGAATGTGGTAGGGTGAAGGGTTTCAAGATACAGATCTTGCAAAAATGCCTGAGCTAATAGACACCACAACAGAGAAATTAAGAGAAGATGACTCAATGGGAATGAGTACTTCTGCACCATCCCCAGATGATGAGGAAGAAGATGTTAAAGAACCAGTGCAAGAAAACAATTGACATTAGACAATCTGGCAGAAGGATTCCAGTTATTCAAGACTGCTTTTGACTTCTTTCATGACATGGACTCGTCTGTGATACAGACACTGAAATGAAAGCAAACAATGAAAGAATGATTGGTACCATATAGAAACATTTTTAGAGAAATGAAAAGGCAAAAAAGTTAGACAGAAATTATGATGTGTTTCCATAAAGTAAAAGAGAATGTGCCAGCCTCACCTGTCTCCTTTTCCACCTCCTCTACCTCTTCCCCTTCTGCTACTCCTGAGACAGCAAATCGACCCCCTTCTCTTCCTCCTCAGCCTACTCAACATGAAGATGAAAATGAAGACCTTTATGATGATCCATTTCCACTTAATGAATAGTTAATATATTTGTCTTCCTTATGATTTTCTTAATAACATTTTCTTTTCTCTATGTTACGTTACCATATAAATACAGTATATAATACAGATAGCATACGAACATGTGAATCAACTGCTTATGTTATTGGTAAAGCTTCAGATGAATGAAGGCTTTATTGTAGTCTATTAGTAGGTAAGTTTTAGGGGAGTCAAAAGTTATATGAAAGTTTTTGACTGTGCAGGGGAGTGGTTCCCCTAATCCTCATGTTGTTCAAGGAATAACTAATTATTAATATAATGTATAATAAAGTATACATAAATTGTGGTACATTAATTTTCTTTGTAATTATGCTGACTAATGGTGAATGTTCAGGAACCAATGCTCTGCAGCAGTTCTCAGGACTGTGAATCTTTCCTAATAAATATAAAAGTAAAATTAATAGGAATGGATTGGGAAAAACATATTTTCAATATATTTCTTGTCCTAGGTAGCTCAGAATTTATTTATGGTTTTTCTACACTTAAGATCTAGGTAAGATTAGCTGAAATATTGACTTTCCATGTTTTGTGCAAAACCTATTGCCCTTCAGACCTTTCTGAAAATTTGTGAGAGATTTTTACCCATCTGAAACATCCTTCCATGTCCACCAAATTTTAGTAAATCCCCAACTGAAGTCACTATCTGTAGTGTCTTGCTTTTTCTATACCTTTATCAAATCAGGAATGACCCTGTTAATTGATTTTTTAGTAGTCTTTTGTTTGCCCACACATTTCCTTCCCATTTGAATATCAACACCCTGAGAGGCAAGATAACATCTGTCTTGTGTTCCATAGCACCCTTAGTGACTACAAGAATATTTGGTTCCTTTCATTTTACTGCAAAAGACTAGATGCCTTATCATGGATTGGCAACCTTTTCATAGAAATGGTATTTTGGTCAACATTTTTCTAGAATACAACAGAAGACTGTGGGAACAAAATGCCAACTTAAATGAGCTGCCAATTATTATATTATGAAATGTAGTTAAATTATAGTGTGTATCATAAATAATTTATTATTAGTAAAAGCAAAAATTCATGAGTGATATTTTAAGGTATAAATTAGAGTTGATTAAATATATATATTTCTAATTTGCATATGAATATCCTTAACTGAGGGTGGAAAAATGATGGTTTTAAGTTAGGATTCCATAACCTCTGAACATTCTTTCATATGCCAATGCAGTCTACATGAGAGCACTATTTTCACTGTGTCTAATAGAAAAAGAATGTATAGTAATCACTATATCGAAGCACTTGCCCACAATAGTAAATACTGTAAATTGCTTTGCTTTAAAATGTGCTAAGATATTATTCCATTTGTGCTGACAGTAGGCTCAATCCTCGGGAAATTGTTTAACCAAATTAATCTAATATGGATAACTATTATAACTAACATTTTTGTAGTGAGATATTTTACGTAATAAACAGAAAAAATACAACAAAATAAGCTTAAACATGCTCCACAATAGAAACAAAAACCCATAAAATACATAGAAATGGTCTGTAAGAAATAAGCAGAATATACATGATAAAGAATTGTTTTCTAATCTACAGAATGACCTATACAATTAGATAAATTAAGAGATTCTTTTTTTCTCAACCTCTTTCTCTCAGTTGACAACCCAACACACTTCAATGTAATACCAGACAAACTGCGATTGTGAATCTACTGTGTAGCCAAAAAAGTAAAAAGTATATTATACAAATGTTTTTATCTTAAAACCTTTTTAAAATACTAAAACATTTCATATATTTGTGTTTAGACATGACATATATCTTATGTACAATAAAATACTTTAAGATACATGGCAAAAGCTTAAAATATATGTTTTATGAAGTCCCATAAATCAATAGAAAAATTATATAAACCCCTCAATAGAACATTAACAAAAGGAATAATACTTTTTAGCAGATATGCAAATGATCAATGCATTTATTAAATGTGGTTGCCCTCATTAATTAAGTATTGCAGATTTAAACAACAACATAATAGACTTAAAAAGCCAAGATTAGATTTACAATACGCTATATAGGAAATTATTCTGGTAAATAATCGCTCTCACACTTTGCTGACAGCAGTGTAAATCTGGCCATTTTTACATTTTACTTCTTCCTGTAATACATAAATAGGTGTGCCTACCAGTGATAAAATTCCACTTAAAGAAATTTATTCCAAAGAAATAATTAGACAAATTTGCAAAGATTTCATAAAATGATAATAATGGCTAAAATTTCTTGATCTTACTATATATAAATTATCTAATTTAATCATTAAAAACTCTGGGCGATGTATATCTATGTTATCCCAGTTTTATAACTGAGGAATCTAAAAATGATAGAAGTTCAGTAACTTTCTCAATCTAACAATAATTGTGACATTTAAATCAGGCTGTCTATATCCTTATCAGGTCATTAAAACCAGGTAATTTTAATGAATATAGTTAACTGGCTTTTAGCCTCCATTCCACCCTTCTTCTGGGACTTTCTGTGCTGTGGAATCAGAGAAGCCTACTGTCTGTACTGTGGAATCAGAGAGTCTATAATTTTATAGATTATAGACTGCCTTGAAGCTAGGATTACGGGTATGATGGGTTCATCTAAGCAGGTGCAGTACCATGACATTTGGAAAACAGGAGTGATCTGGAGACTATGTAATACATATTAGCTCCTTCCATGTTCTGCTGGCAACTACAGTGTAGGAGCATTCGGTTTCTAGTGGCAGCATCCCAGGCACCAATCACTAGTCTCGTGGATGCTGAGAGGCAAGCCCCATGGCCTGTCATTGACAGTGTACATCTTACTGTGTGGCAAAGCTCTGGGTACACCGTTCCTGGCTCAGCAGCTTCCTGATACTTAGATGACAGCTTGGCAAAATTTTCTCGGGACACACAAGTGAGGAGGCAGAAGCACCGTCTTGACTCTGCAGATCATAGCCGAAGTTTTCTAGTTCTCGGGAAAAAATTTCAGTGGGGGCTGCTTCCTGACATATGGATCACAAATAAGGCACTGTCCTCTTGGAATTAACAGACACAAGGACTGCTTCCTGATAGCCAGACTTACAGATTGAGAGAAAAATAGCTATTCTCCTAATGGGCCTATTCCCTGATATTGTCTCAAAATTATTTCTGCAGGATCAGTCTAGAACTCACTTCTACAGCCATGTTAACAATTTTGATAAAAGCCTAGAGCTTTCTCTTTTCTGAAATTAATCACTGGCTATACAGCTAGCCTGGAACATGCATTGAGTTTAATTGTAATGTTTAATAATTTAAATCATTAAGTTTATGTAATGGGGAATCAGATATACAGATATATTTCTGTACAATGGAATGTAATGCAGTAATTGAAATTAAAGTCTATTAACATGAAAATATATCTAGAACATAGTATTGAGTTTTTAAAACACAAACTATAAAATAGTGGCCATTTATGTATGTTTGTATGTTTAGAAAACTATGGCAGGATACATAATAAAATATGAATAATTATCTTTCAGTATTACTATATGGAGTAATTCTCACTACCTTCTTTCAAGTTTTTTTAGATTGCTCTAATGTGAATTTTTAATGAGTACAAGTGCTTTAATAATAATAACAAAAATGAAAGCTAGTTTCATTTTGGGTGAAAAAAAGAGACGATGTCATTATCCTATCTTGGGTGTGTAGAATAGCTTACTCTCACTGTTCTTCTTTCATTATCTCTAATCTTTTTATATATAACTTTATAATAGTTTAATTGTGCAAGCCATACTCAATTCTTTTAAAAGAATATGAGGTTTTAAAAGCCAGGATTAAAACTGAATACTCATTATATACTTGTTTGCAAACTACCTCTTAACGTGTGGCATCTGCTTGTCTTAGTATATTCACTCTGCATAGCAATCTTGCCAAGACATTCCACATACATTGAATGTAGAATGCCTTTTTACTTAATTGCATAATTACGTGTTCTTGGTATCAAAGTTAGAGTTCAGAGAAGTTTATGAACTTTCAACACTCCCTCCTCCAATTCTTCCATGTGTCTAATATAATCATTTTTTTCCTCTTCTTTACCTACACATTAAGCTCTGGGAAATAAATGTGAAAAACCAAAGCCCTATAATCCGAGCAGAGATAAGGAGAAATTGCACACTTGCTGACACGTGAAAATTTCAAGGTTTGGTTGGCATTGCTTATTGATCATGGAAATCATAGCTTCAAATAGAGATATAATTTGTTTCTAGGGCCTGCAGTAGCTGACAGTATAGAAAGGCAATGATGCTCACTTTTTGCAAATATTCCTTTCCATGTTTACCACTACCAAGACTATCAAAATTTTGGGGTTCTTGTCTGAGCTAATAAGAATCAAGGGGAAGCTATAGACACTTAACTTTAGCTCTCACATGTATATATTTTAACCTTTAACCAAGTAACACTAATTCTCAAATTCGTGATTTGGTTTAGTTGTCCTACATTGTATCCATTAGTCCAACTTCCCACTCTCACTTTCTATTATAATAAAAATCCCAAATCAGTGTTTTAGCTCAGTCAGGTAGGATTGCAAAAATATCTGTCTTATGGTATTACCATAAATAGTTAGAACCATTAACTGCTTAAGATATTTCTTCTCCCAAGGAAATATTTCTCAGATTTTTTGAGCTACTAATTCTGTCTCAGACACCCTTTGTCTATTTTTTGAAGCTCTTTAAAATATAGCAGTTATAACCTTTAACTTTATTTGTCTTGTTTATATCCATCACTGATCTGCACACTCCTTGAGTTCAAGGAACATCTTTATGAATCTTTATAGTCCTCACTTTTTATCATTTCCTGGCCAGTAGTTCCTGAAAGTGCATCCGCATTCTAAAAGATTATTTTAACTAAAAAAATGGAATATCACCTGTGTTCTTGTGGTAGCTAATGGTGAAACGTTGGAAGAAAAAGGGATAGGTAAAAATAGTGATTGTTTGTATTAAATGCCTACTTAATACCTAACATTTTCAAATCTCATATTGTACAAAAACAAGTAAAAGACTGGCTGGCTTACAGCTAAATGAAGTCTTTTAGTTCACATTGTTTGTATGTCCTTCAGAAAGATTATGCAAACATTAGAGAATGATGAGAAAGTAGAGAATATTCAGAAGTAGGTAAAATTGAAGGATAAACCTTTTCCTCATTTTCCTTGTCCCTTATATCTTGGATACATTCTTCCATACTGTCTCAAGCCATCCGAGAATTTGTTCAAGGAATTTAACTCACCCCATGTAGGTATTAGTGTGGCAGATGCTACAACCTGCAATTCTACAATGTCTAGTAGAATCTTTTAAATCAAAATGCAGCCAATAATTCTAAGAATGACACATATCTGGTAAAATAGGGAAATCATTCATATATATATATATATATTAACATTTAACATATATATATTAACATATATGTATATAAGTACATCTCTCTTGCATGAAAAGAAATCCAGTAAGTATAAGCAGAAGTAATTGAGTGGAACTTCCAGAACTGTACTTTTTTTTTTTGCCCTTTCCTTTTTTTTTTTTTTTTTTTTTTTTTTGTCTTGTGATGGAGTTTCGCTGTTTCACCCAGGCTGGAGTACAATGGCACAATCTCAGCTCACTGCAACCTCCACTTCCCGGGTTCAGGAAATTCTCCTGCTTCAGCCTCCCGAGTAGCTGAGATTACAGGTGCCCACCACCACGTCTGGCTAATTTTTATATTTTTAGTAGAAATGGGGTTTCACCATGTTGGCCAGACTGGTCTCAAACTCCCGACCTCAGGTGATCCCCCTGCCTTGGCCTCCCAAAGTGCTGGGATTACAGGTGTGAGCTACCACACCCAGCCCTCCCCTTCTTACTGACTTCAAAGACAGTCTGGATGGCTATGTGTCTAGCAGGTATTTTGTACCATAAGTTGAACTTCAATATGAAAAATGTACACAAAGCCTTCTATAACAGAAAGATACAAGGAAGCTTTGACTCTTTTGAGCCATCGTAGAAGCACTGGACGTATTGTGGAGGTAGAAAAAACAATAAAACCTTTTATTGTTAAAATGTGTTCAGACTTTATTTATTTATTTATTTATTTATTTCAGTGTTGTGGTCTCGCAGTCAAACACAGAGCCTAACTGATAAGAGTTCTGACTTCTCTTTTCCTTGTCTATCTTTATTGGAAGCTGAATTTAGCTAGTCCCTGTCATCTGAATTTTAAAGCTACCACATATTTAAGTACTACTGAATCTTCCTATATTTTACTCATTTTATTCTTACGCTTCATCTTTTTCATTTTTTTCCTACCATTACCCAACTTTGTAATAATTTTTGAATCAATTCTGAGTTTTCTACATTCCTTCAATGCAATTGTAATCGTAATGGTAATGTGCCAAACTATTCTATTGAAATTTTTATTACTTGGTGCCATTTGCTTAAATTTTGTTTTAAAGAATAATGATAAACTGTCCAATAGAAAAAGAGAATAATTTCTCTTGAACTTAACTTTCTGTCTCTTTTTTTTTCCCAAGTAAAACAAAGTTTTTATTCCTATAGAGATGTTCATTCAAAGGCCTCCAAATATCAAATTTTAATTAAGACAACATTGAAAACCTCAATTCACCATCCCATTAATCGATGCATAGCATTGTAAAAGGATTTGCCCAGGGTTATAAAACTTAGCCTCAACTATTGGCTCCATACTAATACACAGGCAACAGCAAAGTCCACAATTCCACATTCTGTGTGAATGCTAAAAGCTTTGTTTTCACCAGTCACTTCTTAGCTAGTATTTAACTCATCACTTTGAAAACCACTTTGATAAGCAGATACCTTAAGCACTGAGGGAGCTGTTAAAAAAAAAAAGCCTAAATTTCTGTTTCAGCTTTTTAAAATTCCATTACAGAACAGTTACTGAAACGGAAAATATATCAGCTGCTTATATAGAAATTTTCTTAGAGAAAGAGGGGAATAAAATCATGTTTTTCATTTAGATTACTCAGAGAAATACATCCTCTTAGGGAAAGGCAGGGGAGAAAAAAAAAAAAGCTAGTGTTGTGGCTATCTGAGCATTCAGATAGCTTTTATTTAATACCCCAGACTTTTATTTAATACCCTCTGTAAATCTTAGTAAGAGATTAAGTACACGCCAAACCCATTTATATGGTTATGGTTATGGTTAAGTAGATTTTAAGACATTAAACTGAGATAGGAAAGTCTCAGGAAGCTGTCTTTATACACACAAGAAATACACATTTTCTATGCACTCACAACAGAAGTTCATGTGCTCACACATTTTAAGAGTTTATCAAAGAGATGTATCTATTTTTTTCTATGTAAACACATCTCAATTTAAATTACCTAAATTTGATTTCATTTTCAGTTTTTCATTTACTGTGGTATGTTTACAAATAAGAAGTAAATTAATTTCCACTGTTGCCTTCCACGTATGGCCTGTTAGCA
Organism: Homo sapiens; assembly: GCF_000001405.40. Lineage (NCBI taxonomy): Eukaryota > Metazoa > Chordata > Mammalia > Primates > Hominidae > Homo > Homo sapiens. The sequence continues at coordinate 39,700,462 of NC_000011.10, forward strand.
AATACATTTGGCTGGTCTATTGATAAAGAAACCAAAATGAAAGCTTACATGTTTTTACCTAAGTTTCTACAGCAATGTGTCAGAAAAACCTACCATATACAGCCTGAAATTCCCAGACCTTTGACATTATGTAGGTCTAAATACAACTTTTTTCCAGATGTCTTAATCACATTCATGGACACCAAGTGTCCTTTAATCCTGATGATGGATGGCGAAGGCTGATATTTGCTTGATGTCACATGTTGCTTATGTTAGCCCATGAATTTAGAGACAACACCTCCTCAAACTACTTGAGGATGGAAAAATACCTGCTACCTATTAGTAGCTGATACTGCAAGTTCTAAGAACATTCATCCATTCATTCATTTTTTCAAAATGTGAATTTCAAACTTCTTTTATTTGCCAATTCCTATTCAATATTCTGGGCATACATACATGAAAGATGTCTCCAAATTCAACCTCTCAGAGAGCTCCTTCCAGCTTAAAAATTATATTACTGTACTGTAATTATTCTACCTAAAGTATTGGTCTCACTGCCTTTCTTAGAATAAATTTGTTTCTTGCTAATAGGAGCAATAGCTAGAAAGCTCAAATACACAGAAAAATTGCAATAAGAATGAAAAGAATACCCACATGCTCTTTAGACACAATCATCAATATTTTGCCCCATTTGTCTTTATATATAAACATTTATGTTTATATATATATATTAATATTTACGTATATATTCCTATTATACTTATTTTTCTGGAGCTTTTGAGATTGAGTCATATATCATGCCTCTTTACCTTTACTTTAGTGTATAACTCCTTACACTAGGATATTCTCTTATATAAATACAAACGTCAACTTAAATTTAAACAGGATACATTTTACTAATCTACCATTCATTTTCCAATTTTGTTCAATTGAACCACTAAAGTCCTTTATAGTATTTTTTCCCTCCCAGTATAGAAACTGGTCTAAGATTTTATATTGTATTTATTTGTCATGTCTTTTAATCTACTTCAATCTGGAGTATTCCTTCAGCATTTCTTTGTCTTGCATAACATGGACAGTTTCAAATCGGACAGATAGTTCTGAATAATGCAGTAAATATTTTTTGTTTTAACAAAATGCTCTGCATTTTGAGTTTGTCTGATGTTTTCATATGGGTAGGTTCAGGTTATGCATTCTCAGCTGGATTACTACATGTGATATTGGGTCCTTCATAGGGTATCATATCTGAAGGCACACAAGGTCTATCTGCCCTCCTCCACCCCTCTTAAATAAAGTTTTATTTTGGAATTATTCCAAATTTACAGAAAAGTTTATAGAGTTCCCATATACCCTTCTCTCAAATCTAAAACATTAAAATAGGCACATTACAATTAAATAAACTTCAGACTACATTTGGATTTCCCCAGGTTTTCTAGTAATATTTTTTTTTTCTGTTCCAGGACCCAATCCAGGATAGCACACTGTGTTTAGTAGCCATGTCTCCTTAAGCTGCACTGATCTATGTCAGTATCTCAGCCTTTCCTTGTTTGTCATGACTTGGACAGTTTTGACGAGTGTCATTCAGTTATGTCGTAGAACTTCTCAATTTGCATTTTTCTCAGGTAATTTCATTTTTATGTTAATTTTAAATACAAAAGTATCTGATTTATCTACCGCATTGTTGCTATTTCTTTCCTTGATACTAATACAGAGTCTATAGGAAGAGACTTTAAAACCATAAAACTATTCTGCTTCTTATCAAAACCCCTTACCTAAATTCAGCATCCAGTGATGATTCTTGACTGAAGCAGTCTATAAAATGATTGTAAGAAAATAAGACTTCCAACTCCACCATCCCCTCCAAATATACCACTTTTATTTGGCATTCTATTGTAAGAAAGAACCCTCTCTCCTCTCCATCTGGGTGTTTTCTTTATTGTTGTTTTTAACTAATGGATTTACATTTTATGAATGGTTTACATTGTCCCTCATTATTTTGAGCTCAAAGTGTCCAAGGTTTTTCCAGAAGAAGCCCTTTCATGTTGGCTCCCAGGTCCCTGTGACATGGCCCCATCAAATCTACCAACATTACTTTCTGATATAACAAAGCAGTTCCAAGTTCATCATAACCCATTCCTGCCCCAATCCTGAAGTCAGTCATTCTTTATGAAAAAGCCGTTTCTTAAATCTTTCCTGTAACCTGCAAAACAATGCTTCGTAGTAAAAGCTAAATTAGTGACATCAAATACATTTTTAGTGGCAACACTTCTGTTAAATTTGACTAGGTCTACTAAATATAAACTAGAAATTACATAGACATTTCAAGCTCAGACACCAGTTGGGACCTTCACTCATTTCCACTACATTAAAACAACATTGTATAAAATAAACATTTAGAACCTTGAGGATAGTTAATTATACATTTTCCTGCATCCTATTAACACCAAACTCAACTGAACACACAAATCTTGCAAGTTAACTGTGTTTTCTTGCAGCCATTCCCATATGCTGTCTATCCACATCCCCCCACCCACCTCACTCATAATAAATTGTCCCACTCTAACCCCACCCAAAGCATTTCTCTGTGTGTGTCTAAGGTATTCTTATTTCTTCATAGAGCATTTTGCTCCAGTCTACCTTAATGGAAACATCTTTTGTTTTTTTCTAATGGCAGATGCCTATTTTCCCGTTCTCCAAAACTAGTCTCCAAATAAGGGGCACAAAAGCTAAACAATATCATGGCTTCCGATTTCCAATGCTGGCATTGCTTTCTCCTTTTTACATACATCTCTCCCTGTTAAAACTACATCAGATTCACTTTCTATATCACATTGCCATGATCTCCTATGGTGAGTCTTCACATTCATTGACTAAGTGAACACATAGTTGTGATGTTTCTTTCCATTTCAAATTTCCTCACAAAGTTAGATGATTTTATTGTCCATTAGGAGTCATTCCAAGTTCTAAATACAGTATTTCTTTCTTTCTTTTTTTTTTTTTTTTTTGAGAAGAAGTCTAGCTCTGCTGCCTAGGAGTACAATGGCATGATCTTGGCTCACTGCAACCTCTGCCTCCCAGGTTCAAGTGATTCTTCTGCCTCAGCCTCCTGAGTAGCTGGGACTACAGGCGCCCACCACTAAGCCTGGGTAATTTTTTGTATTTTTACTAGAGACGGGGTTTCACCATTTTGACCATGCTGGTCTCAAACTCCTGACCTCGTGATCCGCCCGCCTCGGCCTCCCAAAGTGCAGGGATTACAGGCATGAGCCACCATGCCCAGCCCTAAATATAGTATTTCTTGTATCCACAACTACAATCTAAGTAAACTCTACTTCAGTTTACTAATTCTCAACAAAATAAACCTAAGATCTCATATTTAAATTGATTCAGCTATGAAATAAATTCTAATACATATTTTAAAAAATCGTAACTAGTTATTAATCCTTCCATCTCTCTCTCTCTCATTCCTTTCTTTCCTCCCTTCTTTCCTTCCTTCCTTCCCTCTCTCTTTCTCTCTCCTCTTCTTTTAAACTGCTTTTCATCAAACGGACACTCCCTGTTTTCTTCCTTTTCATCAGCACTATTTTCATCTTGCTTCTTCACCTACCCAGCTTTCATCTTAATTTTTATCATTGCCTTAATTTCTTACAGCACTATAATCACCGAATGCCATTGTCTTTCCACCATACCCACACCGGAAATCTCAAACTCTGGTTAAACGCAACTATCTCCCTCACCCTGTCTATTTATGTGGAATGCAAACACATAAAATGGCAAAAGTATGCAGACTGATATCAGATGTTTACAACTTGTAGTATCAGATGTTACTTAGTCCTACCTGGAAATCATTTTACTTGTTGAGAATCAGCTTCATCTCCCAGTTCCTTCAATAACTATTCTAAATTTTTACTAAACTAACTTTGTCATTTTTATAGCATATTAATTATCATTGAAAGTAGAACAAAAATAGACAGTATGAAGCATTACTACCCTTCACTTTTTCCCTAAGCCTACAAATGTATCTCATCTACACAAATCGTATACTTTAGCCTCTGCATTAGGTAAGGTCTTCATCCTCCTATGCAAAGCCTTCCCTCTCCCTATGCTCTCGGCCATCACCATGGTCTCTGCTTCGTTTCTCTTCTGCACTTTCAGCTTCTTTCTGTCAACGGGCTCCATCCTTTTTGCCTCTAAAACTGCTAAAGGCTCTTTCATTCTAACAAACAAACAAACAAAATCTCCAAGAACCTCTGGTCTTTCAAAAGTAGCACTCTCAGTGTTTTATTCCTTTCTAACCATACTTTTTGTGAAAGAAAATATTTTAATCCCCTTTTTCTAACCTTTTAATTCACAGACCTTGTCACTGATTTATGGAGTCTGTATCTACCTCTGAGTTGCAACGTTTCTTCATATAGTCACCAATGACCACCTGATTGGAAATGTATTGATCCTGTTCCTTTTTTTTTTTTTTTGAGACGGAGTTTTGCTCTTGTCACCCAGGCTGGAGTGCAGTGGCAGGATCTCGGCTCACTGCAACCTCCACCTCCCGGGTTCAAGTGATTCTCCTGCTTCAGCCTCCCAAGTAGCTGGGATTACAGGCACTTGCCACCACGCCCAGCTAATTTTTTGTATTTTTAGTAGAGACAGGGTTTCGCCATGTTGGGCAGGCTAGTCTCGAACTCCTGACCGCAGGTAATCTGCCCACCTCGGCCTCCCAATGTACTGGGATTACAGGCATGAGCCACCGCACCTGGCCGATCCTTTTCCTTTTTTTTATACTTTCTTCCTTCTTCTTCTTCTTTTTTTTTTTAATCTTCCACCTCTCTCTGACATTTGTGCTGTTGATTGCTCTCTCTTTTCTCTTGTATTTCTTTTTTCCTTTGTAATTTTTCTCTACCTTTCTGGCCACTCTTTGTTTTCCCACTTAACTATCATCTTAATTGTAGAAATACTGTTGTTTATCTTTGAACAATTATTATTCTTTTATCTTCGTAATCTATATTCTCTTGAGTATTTTTATCCAATCACTTTTATAGCTCTAATTACTTCTCTATATTCCTGATCACAAAGTACTTATTTTAGCCTCTGTCCCTCACCCAATATTCAGAAATTTGCATCTTCCGTCTACAAGTGTTATTCATTTAGATGCCCTGATAGGACATGAATCCAAGATTCCTTAACCAGATTATTTTTCCCTCTTCCATTCCCTATTGATTCATTCTTTCATGGACCCTCTTATGGGGAATGGCATCTCCACAGTGGCAAAACGAAATCTTCCCTCTTCCTTAAATTCCCAAATTCAATACTGAATCTCACATAAACTCCTGATAGGTCTACTTCTATTTATTAGCATAGTTTCCACTCTCTTAGTTTGTGGTCTTGCCTGTTTACTCATCAGTCCTTCAAACCCGTTTTTTTTTTTTAAAGGCAATTTCCCTCATCTTTCCAAATATATTGATTAACTCTGTTATCACATCTTGACATGACCACCCAGGCTATGGAAACCAATAGACCTGATTGGGTGCCATCACCTTGGCTCAGGCTCTTTACTTATATAACAAAGGCAGCAGAGCACCAGAGTCTTACAGTAGATGACCCATATGTGCAGAAGACCCCATCCAGTCAGCCTAGCACTTACTTAACCCACAAGCCAGGATACCTCCAGCCAATTACCAACACTAAGAGACTTTACTTTCCTAGAATGGAAGCGAGAGAGTGTTTGTAGTCCCCCAAACCTCAGAGTTCAATACTTAGTCTTTTTGCTGGACTGGGTTTATAGCTTAGCAGTGAAATTTGTCCACTCTGCTTAATATTTATTTTATATTTTTCTCCTTAGTGATATTAAAGATTAAATGCTATTGCAGAACATTTATAATTTGGCTTTTGTTTCTCTTTCAAACTTTGTATCTCACAACTACCTTTTACCAAACATTTTCATACTCTGTATTCCCTTTAAAACAGTAGCAGTGATATTTCCCCGCAAGTTGTTTTCCACCTTCATCATGCATGTACCTTTAATTTCCAGGTTTTTACCCATTCTTTACAAACTTATACAAGCATCTACTCTTTCCTGGAGTTTTCTTGTTACGTCTAGGAAGTGCAAACTACTTCTTACTCTGTTCCACCACTCTCTATTATACAAACATTTATTACTTGGCTTCTTGCTTTCTATTGTAATTTACAGTTTTAAGCATGTATACTCTATGAGAACGTAAAATCTTTCATAGCAGGGTACATTTCAATGCAACTCTAAATCACCATCCTTGACACATGTTGCCTATCCAATAAATGTTTGTTTGATAGCTTTGAATAATCTAATACAACCAGTCAAGATATGTGTAAGGGAAGGAGATTTTTGGCACCAGTAGAACATAGAGAGGCTTCGAGAAAAAGTGGTACAATTGACCCTCATATGTCCTCTTTAATTTCCTATCAGTATTTAGCACAATGTATTATTTAACCACAGAACAGTTTATTGTTCCATTTTATTAAATTTGACTTAATACAGATGAGAAATTTGTGTTTTATTGAAAAAGAAGGAGGACTTTCTGAATATAAATTTACCTAAATGACTCTTCAGTGGTTACATGATATCAGCATAAGAGGAATTTCAGAATGCTTATATTCCCTTCTCATTTTTCTCATTGTACTCCTTTAACTTCCTTTTTTACTCATATATCCTTTTAATAGTTCTGATTCATCCCTTTTATTCCATATCATCCTTCTTAATAGTAGCGTATCAGGTGAGTCCTTCAAAGATTTTACCAGGAGTTCTCACCTCTAATGTATCAGCTTTCTAATGTTCAGATCAATTAAAGTTATTCCCTTGTTTAACACCTTTAATGTTTTGTCATTACTGATTGAAAAATTCCAAACCCCTTAGCTTTCACCATTCCCTCCATGTTTTTATCCCTATGCAATTTTTCAACCCCAATTTCCTCAGTTTTCTCCTGCCATATGTCATGCTCCAGACAACTTTACAGTGGTTTCAGACTTTGATGCTTTAGTATACACTGCTGCCTGTCTTTGAAAAGCCATCCTGCCATTCAGCTTTTCCTCTTTGTCTTAGAAATTAGGCATCATGGTGTGATGGGATGGGGGCTGAGAAACCTTGGCTTTGGAGAGAATCCTGATTTCAAACTCCAGCTTTTTAAAAGGTCAGCTTTGTGGGCTTCAGCAAATTTCTTTTTCACTTCTTTGCATGTTAGTTTACTTATCAGCACAGTTGTGAAAATGTTTAACTGCCAAATATCATGAAGATTAATTCATGTAAAGCATCTTCCACCTTGAAGAAATTCAATGATTGTCTCTCAATACCATCACTTTGCTCAAGTGCTCCTTAATTTTTGAAGCTGTGTCCCACCTGTATTAATCCTTTTCTTCTAGTACCTACCACCATTTTACACTTATCTCAAATTAATTACTGCAATTTCTTGCTAAACTTTTATTTGTCCTGTTATATTGACAGAGGATGTTTGCCTTATTCATCATTGTATTTCCTGAGTTTACCAGAGAGGCTAGCATATTTTAGTGACTCAATAAATAGCTAATGAAATGAAAAAATATTGTCCTATTAAAATACTTAGTTTAAAACTACAGAGAAGTGCAAATAGATACAAAATAACAAATGCATGTCATTTGAAATGTAACAAAAATATAAACATAATTTATCATTATTTAATTTATCAATATTTTCTTCAACGGCAAATGCAAGTTTAAAATATCTGAGAAGTTCTTAGCATTATAATCTTGGTAATGGTAGTTAACTCTCATTCAAGTCAATACCATTCCCACATTCAAGAAACTGTCTTCTGAATTAGGTGAAATTGCTAATGGGAAAGACATTATTTCAAGACCATTTTCTCAGCACAAGGCTGAAATCGGATGCTCAGTTGGATCAATTATATTCTAATTGCTCATTACCCTTTGAATGCATGAACAGTAATTTGTTTTCAATGAAAATAACACAAGGTTAGTTAAATGAAAAGAGGGCCCAACACACAGAGGCACACACAGTATATGCTGTGATTTAATAATAAACATGTTCATGTAACTGTTTAGAAAATTCAATAAATTCCTTAGCTGTTCAAATATTCTAGATTTTAAAAAGATACTGTTGACTCAAAAACTAAAATAAGCGAAATTGAAAAACGTTTAGTATTTTGACAAAATCTTTGGTGGTAGGGAAATGGGTATTTTCCAAAAACTTTAGTATTATTTATAATTTTTTGTTACTATTAGTTTATTTAAATTCCATTTGTCAATAAAATTAAAGTTCTTTATTCTATGTCAGATTTTCTACTTGGCACTGGGGCAGTGTATTTATGAGTAAAACATTTCTTCCTAAAATGGAACTATTCTGTATTGGCTTTGGTGACATTTGTTTTTAAAAATTCATGGACAAAAATAATGTGGAGATTTATGTAACAGTTAATAAAAGTGAATCCTTAATCTTATCCTTAAGGAAAAAAAAGATAATATACTTCTCTATAAAACTACTTTTCACTGCCATGTCATGAGCATCTTCACATGTCAGCACATTTTTCTAAGCCAAGACGTGTGTTCTATCTAATAAGGTTGAGTGGTCACATGCTTTTTAATGAAACTAACTCTTACTGATATCCATTTAGTTTTATTTGACTTGTTATGCATTTGTTTATTCCAACCTTTTATTATTCTAAATAATCTTATTGCTACAATGACATTCTTTACATACATTTCTTACCTGTCTAATCACTTTTATATCATACATTTGTAGAACCAGAGTTGCTTAAATAGATCACTCTGCAGAAAATTATATCCTTCATATATATTATATTATGTAACATAATGCCTATAGCTGTTTTAACAAAAAATATTTTAATCATTTTATTTTAATCATTAGGCTATGAGGTAAAAATGATATCACATTTTAATACTAATATATCATTTTTCATGTCTAGAAAGAAGTTTAATTTCTTTATTTATCTTCCAACTTTAGCTATTATATATTTGCCTTGCAAAATTTTACTCATTTTCTTGTTAAACTGTACATCTTTTTCTTTTTGGCTCTATTTTTATGCTATTCAGGATTGGAAAGTTCTTTCCAAACTCATGATTATGATTATAAAATTATACTTTTTAATTTTTCCATAATTATTTGCATACCTAGGCTCTATCTCTTTATACATCATATTTATAACATATACTTTCTTAGAAAAATATGCATTTCATCCAAATTTTCACACTTATTTGCATATGGAATTAGGGGTGCTGTTCAGTTCTGGATTTCTTTTGGAAATATTAAACTACTCTATTTCTCTGAGAAATAATACATTGATATTTCACCCAATGAGACTTAAGTTTGCTTTCTACTGCATCATAACCTACCCTCTACTGACAGGTACAGAAATTGGTACTGGAGATGAAGAACTACTGTAAAAAAAACTCCCAAAATAGAAGGTACTAGTTTAAGAAGCTGAAAGGAGTCAGTGAAGAAATGGTTACTGGAAGCTGGAAGGATGGAATTTCATGTTATCTAATTGTGAAACAGTAAAACCATAACTCACAATAATTTCAAAGGCAGTACTTATAAACTTTAGCTCTAAGATAAGAGAATGGAAAAGAGGATTTTGACAGCATGTGGGGAATGCTGCTGTCTGCATTAGATAAGGTAGTAAATGACCAAAATGTACTGAGAAAATAATAGGTCAATTTGCAAGAAGAAATGAAAGAGAAGAGAAAAGGTCCACAAATAAGAGGAATTTCACAGAATGGAAGAGGCAACTTCTTCTGAACACCAAATAATAAAAGACAAAATTGAGAAATACTTTGAGTGAAAAAAGCTGATAAAAATCCAACCTAGAAATAAAGATGCAATCTAGGCTATGGGCTTTACACCCTCTTTTAGAACCACTAAATAGATTAAAATGCTTCAACTAGACGAAATAATTCAGTAAAAAAGAAACTCAGAATGTCTCTTCCACGAAAGCCAAAAGACCCAAAATTAAGTTGAGAGAGAGAAGACAAATAGAGGTAAAGCATAACTTATGTATTACATATATATTCCATATTACACACACACACACAGAGAATCTAAAATACTTGTCTATAAAATAACTGTTGGTATGACTATAATTCCATGGGGATAACTGAAATTTCCTGACAAATTTATATTGGTAAAGTACTGTCAACGTATAGTAAAATATAATGTGATTGTTCAGGAATTAAAATGACAGCTTGGTCACCAAACACTTATGCCACAAGTGAGCTACGAAAATTGCTCCTTCCTCAAATAGGTCATTTTTCCAATGCTCACTTTTCATATGGCTTACAAAAATAAACAAAAAGAAGTTCTGTGAGGTCACAACCAAAGGCCACAGAGAATTAATGGGTAAGCCTCTTCCAGAGAAAATGGGGCCAAATAAAGGATTATTTTCTACTCTAGAGTAAGATGCCCTGGAAAGTCTGCCTAGAACTTACAAGTTACTACAGGCCAATGGATGCTATGTCACCCTTTATTCTCCTTTATAAATGGTAAGCATTATCTATTCCATAGTATATTTTGTTTGTGTGAGTTTCAATTAACTTGCTTTTTTTCAGTACATTAATTTCTACATCAAGGTGATTCACAGAAAGTAGTATGACACATCATTCCCATTTAGAGTGAAAACTGTGCACCGCCGAGAGATCTTGGACTAATTGATTCTGAGACTGGGTGGGATTTTGTTTTGTGTGTCTTGGTAAGTGGCAGAGTATAAATTGCTGGAAGGAGAATGAGCCACATGTATGTTGATTAGAATAGAGGACTCTGGTAGCCATCAGTGTTCTTCAACAAATATTTTTCACTTCCCTCCTTCCAGGTACCCTTGAAAGTTAGCTGAGGTCTTCTTGTAACTGACTATGGCCAATGCAACATAAGTAGTAGTAATATATAGCACTTTGGGCCAAAGCTTATTATAGCCAATATGCTTATCAATGTATATCTTCCCATTGTTTCAGTGATTGGGAAAAAATGAGTTGAAATAAAACCCACAGCCATGTTCCCTTTGTGACAATGATATGTAGATGCTCACAACCGTCTTCCACTGACTCAAACTAGATATGTAGCATGAGCAAGAAAATAAACACTTCCGTTACCTTAATCTACTTAGACTTGGGTGTTTGTCTTCTATTGCTACAACATATTCTATTTCAAGGGACTGAATATCATACAAAGCATTTTTTCTAATTATTTTAAATGTCCTCTTCTTCTATGGTTACTTCTAATTACGGAGTATTCTAAAATTTCACTGAAGCATTCACATTTATGTATATTAATGTATGAACTAGCAGTTTCTAGTATAAAACTAATATTAATTGTATAAAGATTGATTTAAAGCCAAAAAGAAAGCATAATAAACACTTCAGCAAAATTCTATCCCTATCTCTGAGACACTCACTTTATTCACTTTCTCTTCTCTCTATGTTTCAGAAATTTGTACAAATTAATTTTGTAGACTTTTTCAACAAGAGAATGAGCAAAAAAGCTCCCGTAATTTTTGTACTAAACTTGAAGTAATATATGTTAACTTCTTCTGGTAATAAATTGCTGTGTTGGCCTATATGTCAGTGAAGCAAGTCCACAGAATAAAGTCAGGTTTCTGTATCTTTTCCTAAATTGATATTTTTGTCATTCCATATAGTGATCCTTGCTACTCTTTTCTTTTTCTCTTCATTTTATTCTAACTTCCTTTTCACTTTTACTACCATCATGCTTAAGTGACTTTTAAATTACTGTTGCTTTTAGTTAAATTGTCCCCAGATTATTTGTTTCAATTAATTTATCAATATACTTATCCAAGATGTAAACCTTATGTTTTAAAAAACACTTAAACATTCATTTGTTGTAAACAATACCAAATATTTCCCATTGAGGGCCAATGTGACTGAAATAATGTATTGCTACCAGTTTAGATTAAGAAAGTTTGAAAATGGTGGTCTATTATGCTGTATTTTAATTTTCATATATTATGAAATGAACCAGATATATTTATATATATCATAGATATATTTAATTTTCATATATCTATGAAATAAACCAGAACGACTCAATGTACAATAGCATTATTCATACGTTTTAAATTTGCATAAATTAAGGCTATAATAGTCAGAAATGTTTTAGTTGCAAATGACCAAAACTCAATTCAAAGTGGCTTTAGTTAAAATGATTATTATTCTTTTTACTCTCATTCAAATCCAAGTGTCCAAAAATACATTAATAGAAATCAGTCCCTGTCTCTTTCCATGGTTTACTCTGTGTTGACTTCGTTCTCAAGTTAGCTCTTTAGATGTGGTGCCAAAAGTAGCTGACAACAACTACATGACAGTGTGGCTGGTTTCATGTCAAGAGAAGAGGACATCAATGACATCACACTGCTCAGAACAGCACTCAATTAAAACTTAAAAAGCGTTTATTTCTGGAGTTCTCCAATTAATATTTTTGGGCTATGGTGAAACCATGGAAAGTGAAACCACAAATAAGGGAGAACTACTATATGTAATATGCAAAATAAAACCTGCTGCTTTATTAATTGTTAAATTCCTCACAGTATTCAAGAGCAAAAATATGGCTTAAAGCTTCAAAACATTAAAATCGAATTATTCTGACATCAAGTAAGCTTGGGCGGCAAGTTAAAGATTCAAGATGAATTAAAAATATGCTCTACTAAAGACAGATATAAAACTGGAGTTAGAATAAATACTGCTTTTTGATATTGAAAAAATAATGAATAAGGAATTAAATGTTATGAAACTAAACTTAACCTGACAGTCAGTATTTTCCTTAAAACCTTGTTCTCTGGGATTAAAAGATTTCTAACTAATTTTTAATATTGTATTTACCCGAAGAAAATTATTCTATTTCTTGAGGAAAACTTTATTTTTCAAAATCATTGATAGCAAGTACAAATGTAACCCTATTATTAATGGCTGTGAAAATTGTATATGTGAGATTGACATGATATTGTTCACCTGGATCAGTATCTTCTAACAACCAGTGAAGTACGTAGAAGATAACAAATTACATCTTTTTTTTTTTTTTTTTTTTTTTTTTTGGAGACAGGGTCTTGCTTACTGTAAGCTCAAACTCCCAGGCTCAAGGGATCCTCCTGCCTTGGCCTCTCAAGTGCTGAGATTATAGGGATAAGCCATCATGTCCAGCCATAAATTATATCTTGATAGCTCACCATATATACAGTGGAATGCAAATATTAGAAAAACCAGAATGCTCTTGTCAGCATTTACTTTTTAGGAATATAGATTTCTTGTCAATCGAGAGGATTAAGTTTATTTTGTATATACGTTAGTACTAAGTGCTGCAGCAGAACATATAAATAAATAAACACCAGTATTCCGTTCCTTTTATGAGTTTCTAATCTGATAGACAAGACAAACTCCACATGATAAGACTTGCAAACAAACATTCTAGATAGCAAAGAAAGGAAAGAGTATCATGTTGATAAAATCAGATATTATAAATCAGGAATTTTGGTGAAAGGAGCTGAGTGTGACTTTTATTTTTATACTTTATTTTGTATTTTTATTGGAACATGAACAGAAGGGGAAAAAGAGGTTTTGTTTTACAGGTATTATCACCATTATCAGTGTACCCTCCTTTTTTTCCCTTTACTTCCTTAGCATCTCCATCAATTATGTCACTTATTTAACTTTTCTGTCCCTGTAAAACACACACACACACACACACACACACACACACACACACATTTTTTAAAGTTTTAATGGAGGGACAACTGTCTCTTTCCTCTTTTACATCAAGCTTCCTGCAGACAAAGTGCTCAATATCTGTGAAAAGATAACAGCATTTAGATGACCAGTGTAAATCAATTTGCATATTTTCTGTCTATCTAAATGGTGGAAATTTTTATCCATGCTAAAATACAGTGGTTTGGGAATAAAGACACAGAGGCCTTACTGTAAGATAGTTAGAAATATAACTTTTGCTGAGAATGATGGTTTCCAGCTTCATCCATGTCCCTGCAAAGGACATGAACTCATCCTTTTTTATGGCTGCATAGTATTCCATGGTGTGTATGTGCCACATTTTCCTTATCCAGTCTATCAGTGATGGGCATAGAAAACCAAACACTGCATGTTCTCACCCATAAGTGGAAGTTGAACAATGAGAACATATGGACACAGGGAAGGGAACATCACACACTGGGGCCTGTCGGCGGGGTGAGGGGCTAGGGGAGGGATAGCATTAGGAGAAATACCTAATGTAGATGATGGGTTGATGGGTGCAGCAAACCACCATGGCACATGTATACCTATTTAACAAACCTGTATGTTGTGCACGTGTACCCCAGAACTTAAAGTATAATAATAATAAAAAAAAGAAATATAACTTTTTACAAGCTCTTTAAATGTTTTTGTAAAGACCCAGGTAAGAGTTCAAATAGCCTTACTCATGTATTTCATATATTTATGTGGGAACAGTAAGAATAAATAAATATAATATTTAGTGCTATAATGAGAGCAAATGTCAAAGTTAGTGCTTAAGTTGTGTGTTTACTTTATCTAGGATGTTCAAGAAGGCTTCTGATACAGTTTGGCTGTGTCCGCACCCAAATCTCAACTTGAATTGTATCTCCCAGTATTGCCACATGTTGTGGGAGGGACCCAGGAGGAGGTAATTTAATCATGGGGGCTGGTCTTTCCCATACTATTCTCATGATAGTGAATAGGTCTCACGAGATCTGATCAGTTTATCAAGAGTTTCTGCTTTTGCTTCTTCCTCATTTTCCTCTTGCCACTGCCATGTAAGAATTGCCTCCCGCCATGACTGTGAGGCCTCCCAGGCCATGTGGAACTGTAAGTCCAATTAAACCTCTTTTTGTTCCAAGTTTTTGGTATGTCTTTATCGGTAGCATGATAACGAACTAATACAGTAAATTGGTACCAGTAGAGTGGGGCACTGTTAAAAAGACACCTGAAAATGTGGAAGCAACTTTGGAACTGGGTAATAGGCAGAGGTTGGAACAGTTTGGAGGGCTCAGAAGAAGACAGAAAAATGTGGGAAAGTTTGGAACCTCCTAGAGACTTGTTGAGTGGCTTTGACAAAAATGTTGATAGTGATATGAACAATAAGGTCCGGTCTGGGGTGGTCTCAGATGGAGATGAGGAACATGTTGGGAACTGGAGCAAAGGTGACTCTTGTTATGTTTTAGCAAAGAGACTGGTGGCATTTTGCCCCTGCCCTAGAGATTTGTGGAACTTTGAGAGAGATGATTTAGGGTATCTGGCAGAAAAAATTTCTAAGCAGCAAAGCATTCAAAAGGTTAATTGTGTGCTGTCAAAAGCACTCCATTTTAAAAGGGAAACAGAGCACACAAGTTCAGAAAATTTGCAGGCTGATGCTGCAGTAGAAAAGAAAAACCCATTTTTTGAGGAGAAATTCAAGGTGGCTGCAGAAATTTATATAAGTAGCAAGGAGTCTAATGTTAATTCCCAAGACCATGGGAAAAATGTCAGAGACCTTGGAGTGGCAGCCCCTCCCATCACAGGTCCAGAGGCCCAGGAGGAAAGAGTGGTTTCGTGGGCTGGGCCCAGGGTCCCTGTGCTGTGTGCAGCCTAGGGACTTGGTGCCCTGTGTCTCAGCCACTCCAGCCATGGCTGAAAGGGACCTATGTAGAGCTCAGGCTGTGGCTTCAGGGGATGGAAGCTCCAAGGCTTGGCAGCTTCCACGTCATGTGGTGTTGAGCTTGCGGGTACACAGAAGTCAAGAATTAAGGTTTGGGAACCCCTGCCTAGATTTCAGAAGATGTATGGAAATGCCTGGATGCCCAGGAATATGTTTGCTGCAGGGGCAGGGCCCTCATGGAGAACCTCTGCAAGGGCAGTGGGGAAAGGAAATGTGGAGTCAGAGCCCCCACATAGAGTCCCTACTGGAGCACTGCCTAGTGGAGCTGTGAGAAGAGGGCCACCATCCTCCAGACCCCAGAATGGTAGATCCACTGACAGCTTGCACCGTGCACCTGGAAAAGTCACAGACATTCAATGCCAGCCTGTAAAGCAGCCGGGAGGGAGGCTGTACCCTACAAAGCCACAGGCGTGGAGCTGCCCAACACCATGGGAACTCACCTTTTGCATCAGCGTGACCTGGATGTGAGACCTGGAGTCAAAAGAGGTCATTTTGAAGCTTTCAAATTTGACTGCCCCACTGGATTTTGGACTTGCATGCGCCCTGTAACCCCTTTGTTTTGGCCAATTTCTCACATTTGGAACAGCTGTATATACCAAATACCTGTACCCCCATTGTATCTAGGAAGTAACTAGCTTGTTTTTGATTTTACAGGCTCATAGGCAGAAGAGACTTGCCTTGTCTCAGATGAAACTTCGGATTGTGGACTTTTGTGTAATGCTGAAATGAGTTCAGATTTTGGGGACTGTTGGGAAAGCATGATTGGTTTTGAAATGTGAGGACATGAAATTTAGAGGGGCCAGGGGTGGACTGATATGGTTTGGCTATGTCTCCACCCAAATCTCAACTTGAATTGTATCTCTAGGAATTACCACGTGTTGTGGGAGGGACTCAAGGAAAGGTAATTGAATCACGGGGGCCCATCTTTCCCCTGCTAGTCTCATGATAGTGAATAAGTCTCATGAGATCTGATGGATTTATTAGGGGTTTCCACTTTTGCTTCTTCCTTATTTTTCCCTTGCCACTGCCATGTTAAGAAGTGACTTTCACCTCCTGTTATGATTCTGAGGCCTCCCCATCCGTGTAGAACTGTAAGTCCAATTAAACCTCTTTTTGTTCTGAGTTTCAGGTATGTCCTTATCAGCAGCATGAAAACAAACTAATACAGCTTCTATGAGGAGGTAACATTTGACTTGAAACCTGAATAGAAATAAATAATTCAACTGTGCATTATTTGATTATCTGAGCAGGCTCATATTTCATCTTCAACCACTCAATTTATCTCCCAAGCTTCTAACTCTTTCATCCAGATGAAGTCACTCAATTTAGCAGAGAGAACAGATACTTCTTCTCTTTGCAGTTATTCCATTATTATTCTTTACACACAGAGTTATTATTGCAACTCACTGTCTATTGGACAGATTTCATACTGTAACGGGAACAATAAAATTATGACTTGGTGACAGACCTACTTTATTGCCAAGGTACGTTGTACCTCTCCATTAATTTCATTGTTTCTCTTCTTTCTGTCTGTCATTTTTCAGGAAGCAAACAAAAGTGATGCTTTCAATTGCAAGCAGAAATAAGAAAAATAAAGAAATTCAAAACAACAACAACAACAACAACAAAAAACTGCTTCTCAAAGATCCTTCAAGTCCTGGCAGTCCAAATTTCAAAAACTGTTTAAAGCCTTACCACTCAATATCGAATGAAAGACGTGGAATATCAACAATGATTTATCTTGTTTTTAGAATCTTCCAAAATCTGCTCCTCGGGTTATCTCCATTATAATCTTAATCCTGAGAACAGTAAAGCGTGTGTCAATAAACATATCTCTAAATTTTAAAAAAAATGGGAAAACTATTCATGAAGGAAAATAGTACAGTTTTTGTGTGTTTCTTCATAAAAAGTTTGAACGACAAGAGATCAAATAATTACATTGTGGTAGATATTAAGTAGGTCTAACAACACAAATTTTGGGGTTTCTACTTTGTGCATTTTACCTTATAATGAGCAACCTGATATGTTCTTGAGGTGTATAAGCCAGAGGGAAAACAGAACAGCTCATATAAAATAGAAAAGAAATAATTAGGAGAAAAACAGGAAGGGGAAGAGAAATTATACATGGAAAAAGTTAAAGAAAGGATGCATTTTGAAAATCTATTCTCTGAAGCATCTAAAAGTGCAATAAAATCATCAAAACTGAGACTAAAAAGAAATATGAGGCCAGGCGCGGTGGGTCAGGCCTGTAATCCCAGCACTTTGGGAGGCCGAGGCAGGCAGATTGCGAGGTCAGGTGATCAAGACCATCCTGGCTAACACAGTGAAACCCTGTCTCTACTAACAATACAAAAAAAATTAGCCAGGCGTGATGGCACGTGCCCGTAGTCCCAGCTACTCGGGAGGCTGAGGCAGGAGAATCGCTTGAATCGGGGAGGCAGAGGTTGCAGCGAGCTGAGATCGCACCACTGCACTCCAGCCTGGGTGACAGAGTGAGACTCCATCTCAAAAAAAAAAAAAAAAAAAGAAATATGGGATGTTTGAAGTCTGCACAATCAAAATGAGAATTAAGATTCATTGAACATATATGCATAATGCCAAGTGAATCTTGTATTATCACTTTCTATGTGCCATGTAATATGCTAGGAACATTCAAATACATACTTAACTAGCACTTACAACCCCAAGAAATATGAATTATAACCGTGTCTCAGAGAATTTACACGAATTTCTCAAGTACTCAGGTGGTAAGGAGTAGAAGCAAGGTAGAAGAGCAGATCCCTTTATCTCTAGAGTTGATGCTTTTTCTGCTATATCCTGTTGTCTTTTAGTGATATACCCCTCATGCCAAGTACAACCCAAGCCAATTTGAACTGTCAGTCAATTCCTAAGCTTTAACTTGTTCCAGACCCAGTGGTCATCAGGTAAACTGATAAATTTGACCACACATTCAGTATCTCTCTACACCCCTCATCTAAAATATTCACCTAAAAGTCATATACACTCCCATCAACCAGTGCCTCTGGATAAGGAAACTTCAAAGGGGTGGTAGCAGGGTGAAGGTAAGAGGAATAACCTAAGCTAATGTAATACATATTCTGAGCAAATCATTCAAGAAGAAAAAAACATACTAATAAGTGATTATAAAAAACATGTTGGCTTAAATGATTACATGAGTTTTAGTCCCTCTAAATCCTTAAATCTTTTCTACAATGAGAATAAGAGATTTGGAGAGAATTGCACTTCAACTTAAAACCAAAGACCAAAAACAGAAACCTCGGCACATAACCCTTCATATTTGCAATAGGGAAAGCAAATGACATGGACATGTCATTTAAATAGGCAACAATCTAAATATTTGATTAAACATAGAAAAAACATATCTAATAAGTAATTAGTTAGATCAAGACCACATGTTTGTGTATATGTGTATGTGTGTGTGTATGTGTGTATGGAAGCTCAAATTAACTACATATGCTATGTGTGTACCTCATTTAATCATTGCTTACTCAAACAGGAATCACACTCTTTTATTTGAATAAAAGCCTTGTAAATGCAATTCTTATCTTCTTAACTCCAAATAAGTATATTTTCATTTACTGTTTTATTTGCGTTAGATCTAAAGGTTTTCACATGGAAAAAGAAGTAATTTAAGAAAGAAAATGTAGCAGTATCAAAAGATGTGTTGCAAATCAGAATTTATGGGTCATAGTTGGTGATACATGCTAAAAATAATATATCAAACAACTAATACACCTGAAAAAAGTATGCAAAACACAAGATTTTGAGGCATGACAGGAGTGAAAATAAACTATTCACAACATAATACTATAGTCTGGTAATTATAGTTTAAATAACTGGAGCAAATTCTCGGCAAGAGCAATAAAATAGATTAAGTAAAATACCTAACAGCATTTATTTTGGGTTATATAATTCTGCCATAGTGTTATAAAGGCTTATTGGGTAATCAAATGTAGCAGTAAAGAGATTCATAGTTCAATTTCCCTGGGAATCACATTTTTTTTAAATTTTGCTTTCTAATCAAAATAATGGTAAATTTTATTTAAATAATGCTCTATGTATACATGCATTATGATCTAGATAGTAGAGATAATAACTTGTGCCAGACCCAGTTTTATATTCTCTATATGTTCTCACCTACATGACCAAATTATATTTCTTATCCATACATGAACTCAACTGCAAGGATAGCCTCAGATGTTGATAACTGGAAGCTATAACTGGCAAAATACTGAGGTGACTGGGAACCCTGCCATGGACTAAGGGACCTGCTCCTAGGTCTGCATTGAACCTTCATGTTGGTCACAGTGAAGTTTCTACCCTACAGGGCTACTAACAAACTAGGAAAAACCATAAATAGTGGGCAAATGATGTGTTAAATAATATGTTATTGAAAACAATAAGAAATCTTTGACATACATCCCACTTTAGGTTTATAAAAATGTCTGGAAGGTGAATTATATTTGTTTCTTTTTCTAGAGCTGAATGGTTAAATCTGGCTATAAAAGTAATTGAATAATTACCTTTGCAAACACTCCCATTGCATGAAGAATAGCAATTCATGCTGGATACAAGTAGAGAATATTGGTTTTTATTGCTATCTCTTTCCTTAGAAAGAGAGTGGATGGAGTTATAAAACATTTTGTGGGCTTGTACATTGTACTTTCTTGTGAAATCCCTGTATATTTTGGTCCTATATGAAAAATACATTATATTAAAACTCAGAAAGAAGGCAGATACTCCTTCTAATACTCTTTCCACTTTCTTCAGATCATGAAGAGGATAATGACAATGTCTTACAGACCTTTATTTGATACTTACAGCTATCTAACAAAGTAAGTATGATTTGCATTTCCATATAGAGAAGTATATGCTTGCAGGTGATAAATAACATGTCCAAAGTCATGTGGTCTGAAAATTCCAAAGCCAGATTTTAAACCTATGCCTATTTGATCATAAACACCACAACCATAAACAATATACTGCCTTTAATACTCTATAAACACTATGATCATAAATAATACAATACTGTCTTGAATACCTACGTGCCTCATAAAATTTGTCACCCCATTATATGCTCACACTTAGCATTGTGTAAAATAGATGCTCAATGATTGTTTATTAAATTGAGTTTGGGTATGTTGGCTCACAGCTGTAATCCCAGCTACTCAGGAGGCTGAGGCTGAGCCTAGGAGTTCAAGACCATCCTGGGCAACATAGTGAAACCTCATCTCCGCAAATTTTTTTTAAAGAAAATTAGCCAGGGGTGGTGGCTCCTGTCTGTAGTCCCAGCTCCTCAAGAGGCAGAGGTGGGAGCATTGCTTGAGTCTGGAAAATCAAGGTTGCATTGAGTCATGATCACGCCACTGCACTCCAGCCTGGGCAACAGAGCTGTACGCTGTCGCAAAAAAAAAAAAATAATATAATGAATGAATGAATGAATAGAGTTTGTTTTGCACATTTATGTGTTTTTATAAAAGAATTTGATATTTGGTAAAATTTCCTACAGCAGTGCTTTGCCATAGAAAAGATGTTTAAAAAACACTCAGTGAATGAATAAAGGGAAAAAATAAAATGTTTAAAAGGTTTGTGTTGTTTTCATGGCACCCTTGTTCTTCTCAAGTGTTGGCAGTCAGCTCCCTTCGTTTAGCATTTAGTTTTAACAATTAGGGCACAGGTAGATGCATGTAACAGAATGTCCAAATAGTAATGGCTAAAGTCATGAAGATGTAAGTTTTAGGTAAGCACTCAAAAATGTGTTCAAATGCCCGCAGTCTTTGTTTACCCTCTGCCATTGTCAATGTGTCAGCATAGTTGCTGTTGTCTGTAAGCTTGTCAGAGCATAGTTAGAACATGGCTGAGAAAGCTCCAAGCATCATTAACTTTATTAACCATGTTCAATATACAAAGAAGGGAATGGTTTTTTTTTTCTGAGGTTCTTTATATCCAGATAAAAATAACTTTTCATAATTTCCACTTACTGCTCAATACCAAAGATCCCCTCTTACATCAATTGACAAAACCTAGATTCCATACACATTCTAAACCATACCTTAGATGCAGGGATTGGGATCACTATGCATGATTAAGAGCAAGCATTATGTTCTGTGACTAGGGGAAAGGGGATTATTTTCTCTAAGATTTTTTTTTGACTGGAAGAAAAGTGGGGCAGAACTAATAAATACCTTTTGGTAGTCAATTATCAAAGTCCATTTCATTTAAAGTTAATTTGTCCATTTCATTTCACAGAGAAATAGGACATTGTTTTGCCAAGCTTACCTAAAGTGCAGTGGTGCCATCTCAGGTCACTGCAACCTCTGCCTCTTGGGTTCAAGCGATTCTCCTGCCTCAGCCTCCTGAGTAGCTGAATTGCCAGTGCGTGCCGCCACACCTGGCTAATTTTTGTATTTTTTAGTAGAGACGGGGTTTCACCATGTTGGCCAGGCTGGTCTCAAACTCCTGACCTCAAATGTTCTGCCCGCCTTGGCCTCCCAAAGTGCTGGGATTACAGGCGTGAGCCACCATGCATGGCCGGTAGTCCCCACTTTAAATTCATTTTAAAAAATACATTATAAATGTGTGAAAGTATTTTCTGCATCTATTAGATGATCACGTGGATTTTGTTTTTATTTATGTGGTGAATCACATTTATTTATTTGCATATTGTTGGATCCCAGAATAAAGCCTACTGATCATGGTGAATTAACTTTCTGATGTGTTGCTGGATTCAGTTTGCCAGTATTTTGTCGAGAATTTTTGCATCTATGTTCATTACAGATACTGGCTTACAGTTTTCTTTTTTCATCGTGTCTCTGCTGAATTTTGGTATCAGAATGATGCTGGCTTCATAGAACAAGTTAAAGAATACTACGCAGTCATAAAAAACAATTAAAATCATGTTCTTTACAGCAACATTGATGCAGCTGGAGTCCATTATCCAAAACTAATACAGAAACAAAACCAAATATAGCATATTCTAGCTTATAAGTGGGAGCTAAATTTTGGGTACATCTGGATATAGAGATAGGAACAATAGACAATGGGGTTTACTAGAGGGGGGAGAAAAGGACAGGGGCAATGGCTGAAAAATTAACTATTGGGCACTATGCTCAATACGTGGGTGATGGGTTCAGTTCTAACCCAAACTTTAGCATCATGTAATATACCTTTGTAACAAACCTGCACATGTATCCCCTGATTGTAAAATAAAAGTTGAAAAAAACCCAGAAATAAATAAATGAATGAAAGATGCAGGCTGAGGCTGTTTTTGTTACTCTACTACATTTAACAACATATCGTGTTTTCTCAACATAACTTGTTATGTTAACATAGAACAAATTTAAGTTGTAGATCAGGCAACTGGGCCAAATGAAATTACAAAATACAATTTGTAAAGACAAACAGATACCCACTGACTTCCAAAACTAAATGCTTTTTTGTTCACACTACCCTTAATCCAACAGAAACTTGACAAGGAAAGTATTATTATTCAATAATTGTACATGTGAAACCTTGGAGAGGTTAGCTAAGTAAAAATTATCCACCCAGCTGGCTGGTGTTCATGCAGTTATCCTGCTTCCCATGCAACTACATCTAAAGCCCATCCTTTCTCTGCTCTACCGTTCTAGTCATTCACATTGCTAGCCACTATAGACAGCTATCCTGGAATTTATTTTATTTGCAAACTTTCGAATGCCACCTGCTCCTGAAATAGTTATAGCAGAAACTGGCTTAGCTATAATACAGTTCAAGTGTCCAAAGTACTTCCAACTTGTGTCAAAGACAGGGATGGGGTAAAGTGGGGGCATGGAGCATTAGTCATTTCCATCAATATGACAATGAGGTGACCAAGCGTGGGCTACACAAAACAATTTTATTTCCACAGCTGGACTCTTTGGCAGCATCTTCCCAACACAGTTCCTTGTCACATCAGTTTCCCAGAGCATTCAAACATGTTCACTTTTGCCTTAGGCTGGTGTGCAACTTGCCGCTAGTTTGTCCTTCACTCACATTTTCTTTCTCTGAGGGAGATGAGGGATTATTCAGGAAACTGGACTCAAGCTAACCTGGACAAAAGAGTTCTACCTGGATTCTTGGAAAATAAATGATTCCTCCACCTATTTTTTAATCAAAAAGATCATATCATGCTTACATCCAAATTTTGTAGTCCTTATTAAAAAGCTTTTGGAAATGTCTTTTACTTAAGCAACAGAATTGCTTATTCACTATCACAAATCTTTTCAACTGAAAATATATAGAAGACTATTAGGGACAATACATGCACATATAAACAAGATAAAATTAATCATTCCTCAAACAAGAAATATTTTCAGAATCTTTCATCTGATTTGTCCTATTTTGAATTCCCCTTGGCTCAGAGGGGGAAAAGTGGGTTAACAGGCAAAACGAATCTTTGAAACTGACCCAAAGTGTCACTCCTCTCCACCCCACCTAGAGGTCGCTTTGGAAAATGTACACTTTCAGATGACTGAACGTGATTACAGGATTATCATGTTCTGTCTGCCATAAAGGCTGTTTTATTAATGAATAAATTACAGGTTCTTAAAGATATAAAAGGCTCTGGGTGATACGGCTCTTATATCATGTCCTGCCTAGGTAGTTTCTATATATTTTAGCTATTCCAAACAGCTAGCCATTCCCTGGGAAAGGAACAAAATTTGTATACCCCTAAGCCTTTACATGCCTCCTTCCCTAATCAACTCCTTTCCATAGCTAACTCCATTTCACATAACAACTCTGTTCAAAGGTAATCACAGTCAGAAAAATCTTCTTTCATACCCTTCAGTGAGGAGAAATCATTCCACATTTACATTTCTATAGCACACTGGTATGGTCTTAAATTCTGTTATTGTGCTTTCCCTACTTGTATGTTTAGCTTCCCCACTAGACACTACCTTGAAAACAAAAGCTATTTATTGTCTTTACATGTTCTCATAGTCTAAGGCAGAATCTAGAAGACTGCAAGCCTATAAATTTGTCTGAAATAATAGTAGATGAAACTAACTCTTGCATTTGTTTATGTGAGAGAAGCAGTTGAAACAGGAAACGCTTGTGCCCATCGATAATTGTGTTTCTCTTGGGCTTCCTGGTAATAAAGCATCTCTATGGGTAACAGGACCATTAGACTAAGTTCAAGCAATAGAATCTCCAGCCTGACTCTAAAACCTCTAGCATGATTCTTCTGCTTTTTCTATGCTTATCAGCCAGTTAGAGGCAAATGATCCAGAATCAATGTCAGACGTACAAGAAGAAAGAACCATGCTTTTCTGAATGAGTCAGTGTTAACAGTCCAGACTCCAAGGGACTTAGTGGAAGGAGCCTATGTTCCTCAAAGACTTGGCAGAATAGAGCCCCATGCTGATTAATTTATTTGGGCCATGATGTGATTAAAACAAACATTCATTATGTTATGATGTTGAGACTTGAAATTTGTTTCAGAAGCGAGACTTAAAAATTAATAAAAGATTTTTCAGATACTGTAACAACATAGGCAAGTTAATTTTAGGTAACTTACACTACATAAAATTATGTTAATTTACACTACATACATTTATGTTAATTTTATGTAATTTTATACTATAATTTTACCTACATTACATTCCTTGATCACTTATCCTCACTTTACATTTTAATTTCAAAATTATGTGTTACACCACTGACCTCTCTGTGAAGCGTTTGGCAGATTGAACGGAATCAGGAAACCTCTCCAGCAGCATAGATACAATATTGTTTTATAAGTCTTTGTTCTAATTTATGCTTTAAAATGAGACAGGGAGGCAAAAGGATGCTTGTAGATCACTTATTAATAGCAGTGTTACATTTCTTGCTCCTTTGGGGTAGAGAAATTATATTAAACAAAGAAAAACAAATATACTATTTTAGCTTCTTACCTACAAAATATCTACCTGCTGTACTGCAAAAGAATCACAATGTTTTTCATAGCATTCTTATTTCACTAGCTTTATGTTTACATGTTTTTATGTGGCTTTCTTCTGGGATGTGAGGGCCAGGAAACTGCAGACAAAGTTTATCTTCTACTCTCAGCAACCTAATTATGTGAGTTCTCTTCATACAACTGCTTTTTTTTGCCTCAAAGGCACTCATGTTTATTTTGTTTTTTCTAAATTTTTGTAAACTGATTTTAGTTTTAGTTTTTTATTTTACAAAAAAGATCTAGCTTGTAGATCATTTAACACATAGTTAGTTTCCGTCCTCATTCTGGAAGAGTGGGAGGTATTGCTCTCTGGGGACATTCTTCACTTCAATCTCACATCATCCACTCATCTTCTCTCTCCCACAATCGGTGAGACAATCACTTGGAGAGATGCTACTGATTGCATTGTGTTGTCTGAACAAACAGCATGGAGGTAGCAAACACTGAGAATTATTGTATCAGCCACTAACATTTCAACACCATGTGAGAAGAAAGAGAGAAAGATGGGCCACTCTGTCATCCCAGTACCTTCCAAAACCATGAAGAATGCTTGCTTACTCAAACCACACATAGCATTTTCCTATGTCAGGCTAGGATACAAGCTCTTTCAGAGTTAGACTTTAAGAAACTACTTGTTTAAAGCAGTAGGTACCCAAAATAGGCAGTAAAATAAGTTTTAAAAGAGCAGATTGCCAGGCAGAACTAGTTGCTAAGAGAAAGAACAAAAATAGACAGAGGCCATTTACCACCTGTATTATTAGTGGCCTAGTTCAAGACATTGATCTAGCTCTCCTCTGTATGGAAGAAAAAGTCATAGTTTTTTCTTACCCATTGCAAGGTTTATGGTTGGGACTGCTATAATAAAAGACAGATTAACAAGAGAAAAGCAAGAAAAATTGTTTAACATAAATTGTGTGTGACACAAGTGCCTTCAGAACTGAAGACCTAAATAAACAGGGAAAACTGTGTATTTTTGTGATTAAGTTTGATGAAGAGTGGACAATCGTATAGAAGTGTAATTGAACAAGAGAGGGTATAATGTAATAGTAATAAACTTGGGGAATTAGCAAGGCCTGTTTGTTTGCTAAATTCTTTTTTGTGTGTGTCTGTGTCTTTATCTCTTTCCTCTCTGAAATGAGGGTCTTATAACTTACTTAAGAGGAAAGTTAAATAATTATTTTATTATCTGCTTCAGGGGAGAATGACAGGACAAAGTCAAAGAGACTTTCCTGCTTCTGCTGTTTTTCAAATGTCAAGCTGATATATTTTGGGGTAGTGTGTCCTGAACCTCGTCACCTCTATTATTTCAAGAGTCTCCTAACTGGTTTTCCTACTCCTACTCTAGTTTTCTACATTCTATTTTAGAAGCAAATGGGTAGAAAAAATGTCATACCTTTCCTCACTCATCATAAAGGTCACTCATAGCCAACACTTGTAGAAAAAAAGACAGATTAACAGAAGAAAAGCATAACAAATTTATTTAGTCAAAGTTTTATGTGATATGGGAAGCTTCAGAAATGAAGATCCAAAAAAATGCAGGGAAAACTCTATTTTTATGCACAGATTGGATGAAGAATGGGCAGCCATGTAGATATGTGCTTGGACAAAGGGTTTGACCTAATGGTAATGAGCTTAGCGGAGGAAACCTAGCTAAGCCTGCTTGTTTAAATTCCTCTTGGCCTCTTTGTACAGCATTCCTTCCTCTGGGTATAGAGGAGGACCCCTATGGAATGAGGGTTTTATGACCTACCATCAGACAAGGTAGGGGAGAAAATTTCTTTATGTTCAGCTCCTCTACAGGAAAGGGTGGAGGGGTGGAATAATATTTATAGGCTTTATGGCTTGCTTTGAGAGAGAGGGCTTATAATTTCTCTGACCTACCTTGTGGAAGACAAATTCTAGTTTCTATGACTCATGCAAGGGAGAAAGAGTGGTGGGAGACAAGAGGGCAGGAAAAGGTCAGAAAGACTTTGCTTCTGAGGCCTTCCAATCTCCTTTAGTTCAAAGGACTCAGCATGCCAATGCCATACGTTAGAGTATCATTATCTGAGCCCCAACAATTTCAACATAGCAGCCAGAGTGTTCTTGTTATAATATAAGTTAAATCACACAATTTCTTTGTGCAAAACTCTGCAATTACCTTCTGTATTCGTTTCCTATTGCTGCTATAACACCAGAAACGTAATGGCTCAAAGCTACACAAATTAGTTCTATAGTATATTAGTCCATTTTCACATTGCTATAAAGAGCTACCTGAGACTGGGTAATTTATAAAGAATAGAGTTTATTTGGCTCATAGTTCCCCAGGCTGGGGAGGCCTCAGGAAATTTACAATGATGGCAGAAGGTGAAGGGGAAGCCAGCACATCCTATATGGCTGGAGCAGAAGGAAGAAAGTGAAGGAGGAGGTGCTACACTTTTAAGGAACCAGATCTCATGAGAATTCGCTCACTGTTATGAGAACAGCAAGAAGGAAGTCCACCCCCATGATCCAATCACCTCCCACCCCTCCTCCAATATTGAGGATTAAAATTTGACATGAGAGGGTGGGAATACAAATCCAAACCATATAACATAGTCTCAGAATTCTGGAGGCTGAAAGTCTAAAACAAGTTTTATGGAGCAAAAAATCAAGGCGACCACTACACTCCTTCTGGAAGCTAGTGGAGAATACATTTCCTTGCCTTTTCTCTGACCTTCTCCTGTCTCCCCTGCTTTAATCCTGTTCTACCCCATGGCTAGCTACAGGAAGTAGAATCTGTCTTCCCCAAAATGGCTTATAGAAATCAGAACCTCTTTTCTCCAAAGCAAGCCAACAAAAACTAAAAATACTACTCTAACTTTCCTTCTGCCTTTCTGTATAAAAACTGCTCATAAAGAAATTATCAGATATATCCTGTTTCACTGTAGGTCATAAGACCCCTAATTCAGACAAGGCCATGCCCCACACTCAGAAGGAAGGAATGATGCTCAGAGAGGCCAAGGAAAATGTAGACAGACAGGCCTCGATGGGTTTCCCCACTCAGTCTATTAACATTAGATCATGCCCTTTTGGGCCAATCCTATTTCTACATGGCTGTCCATACTTTGTTAAACCTAAGGACAAAAGTAGACAACTTCCTCCTGTGTCTTTGGATCTTCATGGAAGGCTCCCATATATACACATCAAATAAGCTTGTATGCCTTTTTTTCCTATTTAATAAATCTACCTTATCTCAGTGACTGCTCAGTGAACTTTTAGGGCACCAAAGGCCTTGGCGCCTATACTAGCTCATAAGGGCCACTTGCACTTTTTGGCTTGTGGCCCCTTCGTCCATCTTCAAACAAGATTACTCTAATATTTGCTTCCCTAGTCAAATCTTTTACTGACATTGACTGTCTTTTATTTTTATAATAACCCTTGTGATTATATTAGGTCCACTCAGAAAATCCAGGACAATCTCCCATTTCAAGATCCTTAACATAATAACATTTTCAAATTTCCTTTTCTTATATAAGGTGATCTAGTCACAGGTTCCAGAGACTAGACCATGGACATCTTTTGAAACCACTTTCTATATAATATACTTTATCATCTCAGTCAAATTGAAAACGTTAAAACTGTCTTTCAATATTTTTGAGCCTACAATAGTCCTGGCAAATACATGTCTTGACATATTGCTGTGGACACTCTAAAAGGAAAAAGGATAACTATTCAAAAAACCATGCTAGACAAAATATAGAATTAGACTCCTACCTGACGCCATATAAAAGAATCAACTT
The DNA here is from genome assembly GCF_000001405.40 of Homo sapiens. Taxonomy (NCBI): domain Eukaryota; kingdom Metazoa; phylum Chordata; class Mammalia; order Primates; family Hominidae; genus Homo; species Homo sapiens. Next base: position 39,729,857 of record NC_000011.10, read on the forward strand.
AGATGGTATAAAAATCACTTTATAACTCAGGGTAAAGAAGAAAATAATGACAAACCTCAATCTAGGAGAAGATATTTGCAACACAAATAACTGACAAAGAATTAGTATCTAGAATGAATAAAAATATCCCTATGGATTAATATAAAAATTGGGCAAAAACCATGAGCAGGTACCTCAGAGAAAAGAAAATAACCAATAGAAATATGAAAAGTTGCAAGATTACAGTAGTAATCAACAGCATTCAAATTTAACTCACATATATTATCCTCTCAAAACAAAAATGAAGAATTCTGATGATATCGGGCATTTTAGAGAATGTGGGACATTAGGAACACCTTGTTATGCTAGTGGGAGCACAATCTTATATATTCACTTTGAAAAAGAAATTAGCAGTATTTTGTAAAGCTGACCATGGTATGCCAACCAAAAAGAAAATAAACTCTAAGATATATAATAAAAAAACTCTTGCACGTATACCCAAATATAAATATGCAAGATTATTCATAGGAGCATTGTTTATAACAGCAAAAGCAAATAAACCCACAAAACTACAAGTAACCCAGATGCCAATCAACATGATAATACAAACATTAACTATTCAAATATTTACACAATGTAGCATTATACAGCAATAAAATAAACCACAGTTATATTCAACAATGTGGATGAATCTGATGAACATAGTATCACTGAAAAAAAGTCATAGAAGACTGAATATTATAGTAATTTTATAATGCTCAAATAAAACTAATGAAATAAATAATATTTATTATGAAAGTATGTGTGTATGTGTGTGTGTTACATATTTTAGAAAACAATGGAATTATAAAATTTAGAATAGTAGTTACCTTTGAGGGCTAGGCAGGCAATGAGGTGAGATTAGGGAGGAGCACAGAGGTGGATTCAATATTACCAGGATATTTCAGTTCTTAGGTTTGAAGGCTGGTACCCAGATATGTGTGTGTGTGTGTGTGTGTGTGTGTGTGTGTGTGTGTGTATATATACACACACACATATATAGACACACATATATACACACATATATACACACATATTTATATACACATACATACACACACAAATGCATACATATGTATCTTTACATACCTATATACACAAATGCACATATATGTATCTATACATATATACACAAATGTATATATATGTATCTATACATACATATATACACAAATGCATACGTATATCTATACATACACATATACACATACATATATATGCATATAATGTATGTAACATACGTAATAAACTATTTAAATATATACAAGAGCATTCCTGTAGTCATGAGAATTGTTTGGGCATGATAATATTAGTAATAACAAAGTATATCTGAGTGAATATGTTACTGGCGGAAGGTATTCGAGTTACCTGTGGTGAATCAGTACAGGCCTGCAGCCGCCTCAATTCTTACCTCCTCAGAAGAAAGAATTTGACTGAGGGGCATAAGGTAGAAAAAGAAACCAAGGCAAGTTTCAGAGTAAGAGTGGAAGTTTATTTAGAAACGTTTTAGAACAGGAAAAAAAGGAAAGCACATTTGAAAGAAGATGTATGTGAAGGTCAAGTGCGGTGTTTAACCTTGATCCTAGGGCTTTATAGGCTGGCCCCTTTCCCATGATGCTTCCCCTGGGGTGGGCTGCCCACATATACACTGCCCTCCTTGCCCTTGAGAGGTGAGCACGTACAGTGTGTTTATGACAGTGCATACATGCCCATCGAAAGCTTTCTTCTCTTTTCCAGTGGTGTGCCCCCAGAAGGTCATACTCTACCATTTTGTCTCTTAATGTGCATGCCCAGGAAGTTCCCTCTCTCTGGTATCGGCATTCAATTAACACTTCAGTGCAACAGGTATGGACCATGAGGGAATGGTCAAACCATCACCCAACATTCCTAGTGAATGGGGGAGAGCCCTCTCCTGCCCTGCTTATGCCTGTCTAACTACCTGTAACAAATACAGTGCTGAAATCTAGGGTAGTGGTAGTGAAATTAAGATGATTAATAGATTTGAGAAATATTTTGGAGATAATATTGTTATGTGGAGATTGAACGCTGAGTTTGATGGTGGGAATATATTTAATTTGGCCTCCAGATTTTTCCTGGAGCAGCTGGTTTTATTAATGAAATAATTTAACTGAGATTTAGTATCATCTGAAATATTTCCTCCACAGAGATATATTTTTTATCCCTATCTAAGGGGACTCTGTCCACCTCTAGGCTCACTTGTAATTTACCTCATCCTGTTTTACTTTCTATACAACACTTATCACTGTTTGAAATCATCTTATTTACTTAGTTGTAAACATGTCTATTGACTTTCACTTCCTGCCTGAATGTAACTTTCCTGACCAGAGGGCCCCTGTTTGTCTTGTTAAATACTATATTACAAGCACCTGACAAAGAGAATGGCCTACAGGAAGAACTCAATAAATCTTTAAATGAAAGCAAGAAAGAAAACAAGATGACTAGTGAGGAAGAAAGAAAAAAGGGAGGCAGCCAGTGAGGATGGAAGGATGAACCAAAGAAAGGAAGAAATGAAGAAAGGAAGAAATGAAGGAAGGAAGAGAGGCAGGAGAAAGTGAGACTATTACTTACAGTCTAAAAATTAGAGAAAGTTTCAGTGCAAAGACACAAGAGAACTATAATGAGCACAGAGTAATTGCACTACTCTGTTGGAGCTCAAAAACCAATACCCCCAAAATATGGCATTTTGGCATGCTGATCTAAAGAAGTCTCAAGGTCTCTCTGACTTCCCCTGCCTCTACCACACCCATCATCTCTCCCAAAGAGGCCGAAGTTCTTTTATCTGACTAAGATCTAGACCCACATAGGAAAACAACTGTTCTTCCTTCCCCTTTCTGATATCAATTGCAGAGAAAGACCAAGATGCGACCATACCTGAGTAGACCTTTTACAAATATAATGTCCGTCTGGAAGGACCATTTAAATTCCAAAGAAAACCACTTACAAGTTAATCTCTGTTCCCTATCCAATCATTCTACCTAGCAATCATTTATTTCTCCTCAATAGAATTCTTCTTCTCCTCCCTCCCATAATCTGTTTTGCCAGAATCCAAGCAAAATGGTGTCAAAGTCTGGGTAACTCATTGGGAAGTTGGGTCTTCATTCTGAAGGCTGAAAAAAAGTCTGCATACATGTTACATTATACATGTATACACATTAAATAAATTTGTATGGTTTTTGTTCTATTGGTCAACCTGCCTCATGCCAGTGAATTTTCAGTGAACATTTAGGGGGCCAATGGCCATGACCCCCACAATTCCTTAAAGGATTTAAAGTATATTCCATGGTGTGTGTGTTTGTGCATGCAGACACATGTGGATGTAGATGTGTGAATAAATAGTAAAAAACTAATGACACTTTCATAACTTACTTGTATTTGAATCACCCTAACCAATTTTTTAAGTTATATTTATAGGTAAAATATGAATCTACACTGGAATCATGATACAAGTTGACCACAATGATCAAAGCAAAGTCTGGCACTAAAACAAAAGGAGGATTAGTTCATCAAATGAGATTCATGCAAATCAGGGATCTTACCCAGGCTTTACCAATAATTACCAGGATACAAGTAATCATGAGGCATAAGCAAAGCAGGTTTCCTAGATATGACATTAATTGGGAAATTAAGACTCACAATATTTTGTAGCCACAAAGGTAAACATACAACGCCTTCATTGCATTACATAACTGTGGTAGAGATAATAATGTTTGTTCTACCGCATATCAATTAAAATTACAATAAAACTCTCCATTTCTTCCCAACAGAAATGGCTTTTTGCAGGTATCACATATTCTGAGAGACTGGGTGGTAATTAGGGAATGAATCTTTTGCATATGAAACTGTCATGAGTGGTGCAAGATTAGAGACAACTGGGTCCACACATGTTTGTATCCTTCCACAATGTCAGGCTTTTACTGATGCTATTTCAATCACAAAAGCCATAAGGTACAAGGAGTTAAGGAGGCAATTCTCCTTAGTACTTCCAATTCACTCAGTAGACAGAGCTGCAGGCACGCAGGCTCAAGCCACTCCACAAGTCTGTTAGCAGTGGTGAATATTTACAGGTCTACAGCAACTTGATTCTTGCCTCCTCAGAGGAAGGAATTCATCCGAGGGGCACAAGGCAGAGAGACTAAGGCAAGTTTTAGAGCAGTAGTGAAAGTTTACTCAAAATTTTAGAGCAGGAATGAAAGGAAATAAAATGAATTTGGAAGGGGGACAAGTGGGTAATGTCAGGCCTCTGAGCCCAAGCTAAGCCATCTTATCCCTTGTGACCTGCATGTACACATCCAGATGGCCTGAAGCAACTGAAGATCCACAAAAGAAGTGAAAATAGCCTTAACTGATGACATTCCACCGTTGTAATTTGTTTCTGCCCAATCCTAACTGATCAATGTACTTTGTAATCTCCCCCACCCTTAAAAAGGTTCTTTGTAATTCTCCCCACCCTTGAGAATGTACTTTGTGAGATCCACCCCCTGCCCACAAAACATTGCTCCTAACTCCACCGCCTATCCCAAAACCTATAAGAACTAATGATAATCCACCACCCTTTGCTGACTTTCTTTTTGGACTCAGCCTGCCTGCACCCAGGTGAAATAAACAGCCTTGTTGTTCACATAAAGCCTGTTTGGTGGTCTCTTCACATGGACATGTGAGACATTTGGTGCCAAAGACCCAGGTCAGCAGCACTCCTTCGGGAGACCAGTCCCTATCCTCACCCTCATTCCATGAAGAGATCCACCTATGACCTCAGGTCCTCAGACCAACCAGCCCAAGGAACATCTCACCGATTTTAAATCAGGTAAGCAGCCTCTTTTTACTCTCTTCTCCAACCTCTCTCACTATCCCTCAACCTCTTTCTCCTTTCAATCTTGGTGACATCCTTCAATCTCTCCCTTCTCTTAATTTCAATTCCTTTCATTTTCTGGTAGAGACAAAGGAGACACATTTTATCCGTGGACCCAAAACTCCAGTGCTGGTTACAGACCCGGGAAGGCAGCCTTCCCTTGGTGTTTAATCATTGCGGGAACACCTGCCTGATTATTCACTCACATTTCAGAGGTGTCCGACGACGTGGGGACGCCTGCCTTGGTCTTTCACCCTTAGCGGCAAGCACTGCTTTTCTGGGGGGCAAGTACCCCCCGACCCCTTCTCTCCTTGTCTCTACCCCTTTTCCACTTTCCTGGGGGGCAACCACTCCCCACCCCTTCTCCACTTTCCTGGGGGACAAACACCCCCCACCCCTTCTCTCCATTCCCCACCCGTTCTCCACTTTCCTGGGGGGCAAGCACCCCTAACCCCTTCTCTCTGTGTCTCTACCCTTCTCTTTAAACTTGCCTCCTTCACTATGGGCAACCCCTCCCACCCTCCATTCCTCCTTCTTCTCCCTTAGCCTGTGTTCTCAAGAACTTAAAACCTCTTCGACTCTCACCTGACCTAAAACCTAAACACCTTATTTTCTTCTGCAATGCCGCTTGACCCCAATACAAACTGGACAGTCAGTCGTTCCAAGTAGTCAGAAAATGGCACTTTCGATTTTTCCATCCTACAAGATCTAAATAATTCTTGTCGTAAAATGGGCAAATGGTCTGAGGTAACTGATGTCCAGGCATTCTTTTACACATCGGTCCCTCCCTAGTCTCTCTTTCCAATGTGACTCATCCCAAATCCTCCTTCTTTCCCTCCTGCCTGTCCCCTCAGTCCCAACCCCAAGTGTTGCTGAGTCTTGTGAATCTTCCTTTTCTACTGACCCATCTGACCTCTCAACTCCTCCCCAGACTGCTCCTCCTCAGGTTGCTCCCCGCCAGGCTGAATCAGGCTCCGACTCTTCTTCAGCCTCTGCTCCCCCACCCTATAACCCTTCTATTACCTCCTTTCCCCACACCCGGTATGGTTTATAGTTTCGTTCTGTGACTAGCTCTCCCCCACCTGCCCAAAAATTTCCTCTTAAAGAGGTGGCTGGAGCTGAAGGCATAGTCAGGGTACATGTGCGTTTTTCTTTATCAGACCTTTCCCAAATCAGCCAGCTTTTAGGCTCTTTCTCATCAGACCCCACTAAATTTATACAGGAATTCCGATATCTAACTCTGTCCTACAATTAAACCTGGAGTGACTTAAATGTCATCCTAACTTCTACCCTCTCCCCAGATGAATGGGAAAGAGTTTTTTCTCTAGCCAATCTCACGCTGACAACCACCGGCTCCACGAGCCATACCTCCAAGAAGGCATTAGAGCAGTTCCCCGAGGGGACCCCCAGTGGAACTATCAGGCAGATTGCCCAGGTATAGCTAGGCGAGATTACATGATTTCCTGCCTAGTTGAAGGGCTTAAAAAGGCAGCTTACAAAGCTGTTAATTATGACAAGCTTAAAGAAACTACCCAAGGTAAAGATGAAAACCCAGCCCAGTTCATGGCCCGCTTAGCAGCAACCCTTAGACGCTTTACTGCCCTAGACCCAGAGGGGTCAGAAGGCCGCCTTATTCTTAATATGCATTATATCACCCAATCCGTTCCTGACATTAGGAAAAAACTTCAACAATTAGAATCCGGCCCTCAAACCCCACAACAGGAATTAATCAACCTTGCCTTCAAGCTGTACAATAATAGAGAGGAGGCAGCCAGATGACAACGCATTTCTGAGTTACAATTACTTGCCTCTGCTGTGAGACAAAACCCAGCTGCACCTCCAGCACACAAGAACGTCAAAATGCCTAAGCCACACACGCCTAAGCTGCAGCAGTCACACATTCCTACAAGACTTCCTCCATCAGGATCTTGCTTCAAGTGCCAGAAATCTGGCCACTGGGCCAAGGAATACCCACAGCCCACAATTCCTCCCAAGCCGTGTCCCATCTGTGCAGGGACCCACTGGAAATCAGACTGCCCAGCTTGCCCAGCAGCCACTCCTAGAGCTCCTAAAGCTCTAGCCCAAGGCTCTCTGACTCCTTCCCAGATCTGCTCAGCTTAGCAGCTGAAGACTGACGCTGCCTGATCACCTCGGAAGCCCCCTGGACCATCACAGACACTGAGCTTTGGGTAACTCTCACAGTGGAGGGTAAATCCATCTCCTGTTTAATCGATACGGGGCTACCCACTCCACATTACCTTCTTTTCAAAGGCCTGTTCCTTTGCCCCCATAACTTTTGTGGGTATTGATGGCCAAGCTTCAAAACCCTTAAAACTGCCTCACTCTGGTGCCAACCTGGACAACATTATTTTATGCACTCTTTTTTATTTATCCCTACCTGCCCAGTTCCCTTATTAGGCTGAGGAATTTTAACCAAATTATCTGCTTCCCTGACTATTCCTGCACTACAGCCACATCTCATTGCTGCCCTTCTTCCGACCCAAAGCCTCCTTTGCATCTTCCTCTCATAGCCCCCTAGCTTAACCCACAAGTATGGGACATCTCTACTCCCTCCCTGGCAACCAATCACATGCCCATTACCACCCCATTAAAACCTAATCACCCTTACCCCACTCAATGCCAATATCCCATCCCACAGCATGCTTTAAAAGGATTAAAGCCTGTTATCACTTGCCTGTTACAACATGGGCTTCTAAAACCTATAAACTCTCCTTACTATTTCCCCATTTTACCTGTCCAAAAACTGGACAAGTCTTACAGGTTAGTTCAGGATCTGCACCTTATCAACCAAATCGTTTTGCCTATCCACCCTGTAGTGCCCAACCTGTACACTCTTTTGCCCTCAATACCTTCCTCCACAACTCACTATTCCGTTCTTGATCTTAAAGATGTTTTTTTCACTATTCCCCTGCACCCCTCGTCCCAGCCTCTCTTTGCTTTTACCTGGACTGACCCTGACACCCATCGGTCCCAGCAGCTTACCTGGGCTGTGCTGCCACAAGGCTTCAGGGATAGCCCTCATTACTTCAGCCAAGCTCTTTCTCATGATTTGCTTTCTTTCCACCCCTCTGCTTCTCACCTTATTCAATTTATTGATGACCTACTTTGTAGCCCCTCCTTTGACTCTTCTCAACGAGACACCCTCTTGCTCCTTCAACATTAATTCTCCAAAGGATATTGGGTATCCCCCTCTAAAGCTCAAATTTCTTCTCCATCCATTACCTACCTCGGCATAATTCTTCATAAAAACACATGTGCTCTCCCTGCTGATCATGTCTAACTGATCTCTCAAACCCCAACACCTTCTACAACACAACAACTCCTTTCCTTCCTAGGCATGGTTGGATACTTTCACCTTTGGATACCTGGTTTTGCCATCCTAACAAAACCATTACATAAACTCACAAAAGGAAACCTAGCTGACCCCATAGATCTTAAATCCTTTCCTCACTCCTCTTTCCGTTCCTTAAAGACAGCTTTAGAGACTGCCCCCACACTAGCTCTCCCTGACTCATCCCAACCCTTTTCATTACACACAGCTGAAGTGCAGGGCTGTGCAGTTGGAATTCTTACACAAGGACTGGGACCACGTCCTGTAGCCTTTTTGTCCAAACAACTTGACCTTACTGTTTTAGGCTGGCCATCATGTCTCCGTGCAGTGGCTGCCATCGCCCTAATACTTTTAGAGGCCCTCAAAATCACAAATTATGCTCAACTCACTCTCTACAGCTCTCATAACTTCCAAAATCTATTCCTTCCCCACATCTGACACATATACTTTCTGCTCCCTGGCTCCTTCAGCTATACTCACTCTTTGTTGAGTCTCCCACAGTTACCATTGTTCCTGGCCCGGACTTCAATCCGGCCTCCCACATTATTCTGGATACCACACCTGACCCCAATGACTGTATCTCTCTGATCCACCTGACATTCACCCCATTTCCCCATATTTCCTTCTTCCCTGTTCCTCGCCCTGATCACATTTGGTTTATTGATGGCAGTTCCACCAGGCCTAATCGCCACTCACTAGCAAAGGCAGGCTATGCTACAGTATCTTCCACATCTATCATTGAGGCTACCACTCTGCCCCGCCTCCACCACCTCTCAGCAAGCCAAACTCATTGCCTTAACTCGAGCCCTCACCCTTGCAAAGGGACTATGCATCAATATTTATACTGACTCTAAATTTGCCTTCCATATCCTGCACCACCATGCTGTTAAATGGGCTGAAAGAGGTTTCCTCACTACACAAGGGTCCTCCATCATTAATGCCTCTTCGATAAAAATTCTTCTCAAGGCTGCTTTACTTCCAAAGGAAGCTGGAGTCATACACTGCAAGGGCCACCAAAAGGCATCAGATCCCATTGCTCAGGACAATGCTTATGCTGATAAGGTATCTAAAAAAGCAGCTAGTGTTTCAACTTCTATCCCTCACAGCAGTTTTTCTCCTTCTCATCTGGTCACTCCCACCTACTCCCCAAATGAAACTTCCACCTATCGATCTCTTCCCACACAAGGCAAATGGTTCTTGGACCAAGGAAAATATCTCCTGCCAGCCTCACAGGCCCGTTCTATTCTGTTGTCATTTCATAACCTCTTCCATGTAGGTTACAAGATGCTAGCCCACCTCTTAGAACCACTCATTTCCTTTCCATTGTGGAAATCTATCCTCAAGGAAATCACTTCTCAGTTGTTCCATCTGTTATTCTACTACTCCTCAGGGATTGTTCAGGCCCCCTCCCTTTCCTACACATCAAGCTCAGGGATTTACCCCTGCCCAGGACTGACAAATTGACTTTACTCACATGCCTCGAGTCAGGAAACTAAAATACCTGTTGGTCCGGGTAGACACTTTCACTGGATGGGTAGATGCCTTTTCCACAGGGTCTGAGAAGGCCACCACAGTCATTTCTTCCCTTCTGTCAGACATAATTCCTCGGTTTGGCCTTCCCACCTCTATACAGTCCGATAACGGACCGGCTTTTACTAGTCAAATCACCCAAGCAGTTTCTCAGGCTCTTGCTATTCAGTGGCACCTGGTTTTACCTCAAACTGCCACCCTTAAGTCTCTCTATAAGTGGATATAAGATCTTCAGTGACAAAGTACACTCCAATACTTTCACCCTGATGAAGTCCTATTCTTTACTTTTATACTCACTCTTATTCTGGTTCCCCTTCTTATGCCACCCTCTATGTCTTCCCAGCTATCTCCACCACACTATCAATCTCAGTCACTCTCTCCTAGCTGTTTCTAATCCTTCTTTAACAAACAATTGCTGGCTTTGCATTTCTCTTTCCTCCAAAATTGCTGAGGCCTCGACTTACTCACTGCTAAAAAAAAAAAAAAGAGGACTCTGTATATTTTTAAATGAAGAGGGTTGTTTTTACCTAAAATCAATCTGGCCTGGTATATGACAACTTAAAAAAACTCAAGGATAGAGCCCCAAAACTCGCCAACCAAGCAAACAATAACGTTGAACCCCCTTGGACACTCTCTAATTGGATGTCCTGGGTACTCCCAATTCTTAGTCCTTTAATACCTGCCTTTCTCCTTCTCTTATTCGGACCTTGTGTCTTTCGTTTAGTTTCTCAAAACTGCATCACACAAAACTGCATCCAGGCCATCAACAATAATTCTATATGACAAATACTCCTTCTAACAACCCCACAATATCACCCCTTACTACAAAATCTTCCTTCAGCTTAATGTCTCCCACTCTAGGTTCCCACGCTGCCCCAATCCCACTTGAAGCAGCCTGAGAAACATCACCCATTATCTCTCCATACCACCCCCAAAAATTTTCACTGCCACAACACTTTACCACTGTTTCATTTTATTTTTATTATTAATATGAGAAGACAGGAATGTCAGGCCTCTGGGCCCAAGCTAAGCCATCTTATCCCTTGTGACCTGCATGTATACATCCAGATGGCCTGAAGCAACTGAAGATCCACAAAAGAAGTGAAAATAGCCTTAACTGATGACTTTCCACCATTGTAATTTGTTTCTGCCCAACCGTAACTGATCAATGTACTTTATAATCTCCCCCACCCTTAAGAAGGTTCTTTGTAATTCTCCCCAATCTTGAGAATGTACTTTGTGAGATCCACCCACTGCCCACAAAACATTGCTCCTAACTCCACTACCTATCCCAAAACCTATAAGAACTAATGATAATCCACCACTCTTTGTTGACTCTCTTTTTGGACTCAGCCCGCCTGCACCCAGGTGAAATAAATAGCCATGTTGCTCACACAAAGCCTGTTTGGTGGTCTCTTCACACGGACACGTGAGACAGGTAACTAGAGAGATTCAAGCGCCTGGTTTGACCTATGACTTGGGTTTTTATAGGTTGGCATGCTTCTGGGGTATTGAATCTCTCCTCCCTTGATTTTTTCTTGAGGCAGGCTATCCGCATGCACAGAAACCTGCCAGCACCTGGGAGGGGCCACATGCACAATGTGTTTACTGAAGTTGTGTGCATGCATATTTCAGTCATTTTTCTCTTATGAGTCAAGCATTCCTAGAGGAAGGTCATATACCAATTAAACTCCACCATGTTTCCTGTTAGTGTGCATGCTTGAGTCCACTTGACCAACTCCTGAGATCTTATTGGAAAGCTGCTTATCACCAGCTTCAGATGTTGCCTGTCTATTGGGAAAGATAATGCTGGTGAGGATGTGAAGAAAAGGAAACCCTCATACACTGTTGGTAGGAATAGAAATTAGTACAACCACTGTGGAGAACAGTTTGGAGGTCTCTCAAAAAGCTAAAAATGAAGCTACCATATGATATAACAATCCCACTGCTGGGTATACATCCACAAGATAGGAAATCAGTATATCAAAGAGATACCTGCACACCTATGTTTGTTTCAGCACTGTTTACAATCTCTAAGATTTGGAAGCAACCTAAGTGTCCATCAGCAGATGAATGAATAAAGAAAATCTGGTCCATATAAACAATGCAAAACTATTCAGCCATAAAAAAAGAATGAGATCCAGTCATTTGTAACAACACCAATGAAGCTGGAAATCATTATGTTAAATGAAATAACCCAGACACAGGAAGACAAACATTGCATGTTCTTACTTATTTGTGGGATCTAAAAATCAAGAGTTGAACTCATGAACATATAGAGTAGAAGGATGGTTATCAGAGGCTGGAAGGGTGGTAGGGGGCTGAAGGGAAGGTGGGGATGATTAATGGGTACAAAAAATTAGTTAGAAAGAGTGAATAATACATACTATTTGATCCACACAACATGATGACTATAGTCATTAATAACTTAATTGTTGGCTGGGCGCAGTGGCTCACACCTGTAATCCCAGCACTTTGTGAGGCCGAGGCAGGAGGATCACATGAGGTCAGGAGTTTGAGACCAGCCTGGCCAACAGGATGAAACCCGTCTCTACTAAAAATACAAAATTAGCCGGGCATGGTGGCGCATGCCTGTAATTCTAGCTACTCAGGAGGCTGAGGCAGGAGAATTGCTTGAACTCGGAAGGCAGAGGTTGCAGTGAGCCGAGATTGCACCACTGTACTCCAGCCTGGGCAACAAGAGCAAAACTCCGTCTCAGAATAATAATAATAACTTAATTGTTCATTTAAAAATAACTAATCTAGTAGAATTGGATTGTTTCTAAAGCAAAGGATAAATGTTTAAGGTAAGGGATACTCCATTCTTCATAATGTGATTATTTCACATTGCATGCCTGTATCAAAACATCTCATGTACCCCACAAATATATACACCTATTCTCATGATACAGAGTGAATTCTCATGAGATCTGATGGTTTTATCAATGGCAGTTTCTGCTCTCTCTCTCTCTCTTCTGCCACAATGTAAGGAAGGTACTTGCTTCCCCTTAGCCTTGTGCCATGATTGTAAGTTTCCTGAGGCCTCTCCAGCCATGTAAAATTGTGAGCCAATTAAGCCCCTTTCCTTTATAAATCACCCAGTCTCAAGTATTTCTTTATAGCAGTGTAAAAATGAAATAATACAGAGAATTGGTACCAGTAAGAGGGGTAGTGCTATAAAGATAACCAGAAAATGTGAAGGCAACTTTGGAACTAGGTAACAGGCAGAGACTGGAACATTTTGGAGGGCTCAGAAGAAGACAGGAAGCTGTGGGAATGTTTGGAACTTCCTAGAGACTTCTTGAATGGTTTTAAACAAAATGCTGATAGTGATATGAATGACGAAGTCCAGGCTGACATGGTCTCAGATGGAGATGAGGAACTTATTGGGAGCTGAAGCAGAGGTCACTCTTGCTATGCTTTAGCAAAGAGACTGGTGGCATTTTCCCCCTGCCCTAGACATCTATGGAACTTTGAACTTGAGAGATATGATCTGATATTGGAACTTATGTTTAAAAGGGAAGCAAAATATAAAAGTTTGAAAAATTTGCAGCCTGACCATGTTATAGAAAAGACAAACCCATTTTCCGGGGAGGAATTCAAGTAAGCTGCAGAAATTTGCATATGTAATGAGGAGCTGAATGTTAATAACCAAGACAATGGGGAAAGTGTCTCCAGGGCACATCAGAGCTCTTGGCAGCAGCCCCTCCCATCACAGGTCCAGAGGCCTAGGAAGGAAAAATGATTTTGTGGCAGTGGGGGTCAGTGGGGGGCGCTGTTCTATGCAGCCTCAGGACTTGGTGACTTGGTGCCCTGCATCCCAGCTGCTTCAGCCCCAGGTATAGCTAAAAGGGGCCAAGGTACAGCTCAGGCCAAGCTTTGTTAGCTTCCATTTGGTATTGGGCCTGCAGGTGTGCAGAAGACAAGAGTTGAGCTTTGGGAACCTCTGCCTAGATTTCATTTCAGAGGATGTATAAAAATGCCAGGATGTCCAGGCAGAAGTCTGCTGCAGAGGCAGAGCCTTCATGGAGAACCTCTACTAGGGCTACGCAGAGGGGAAATATGGGGTTGAAGCCCCTACACAGAGTCCCCACTGAGGCACTTCCTATTGGAGCTGTGAGAAGATGGCCACCATCCTCCAGACCCCAGAATGTTAGATCCACCAACAGCTTGCACCATGAGCAAAGAAAAGCCACAGGCACTCAACACCAGCCTGTGAAAGCAGCAACGGGGGCTGTACCCTGCAGAGCCACAGAAGCTTAGCTGCCCAAGACCGTGGGAGTCTACCTTGTGCATCCTCATGCCCTGGATGTGAGACATGGAGTCAAAGGAGATAATTTCAGAGCTTTAAGATTTAATGACTGTCCTGCCAGGTTTTAGACTTGTGTGGGGCCTTTGACCCCTTTGCTTTTGGGCAATTTCTTCTATTTGGGATGGGAGAATTTACCCAATGCCTATATCCCCATCGCATCTTGAATGTAAATAACTTGTTTTTGATTTTACGAACTCATTGATGGAAGATACTTGTCTCAGATGAGACCTTGGACTTGGACTTTTTAGTTAATGATGGAATGAGTTAAGACTTTTGGGGACTGTTGAGAAGGCCTGACTGTGTTTTGAAATGTGAGGATATGAAATTTGGGAGGCATCAGGGGAGGAATAACATGGTTTGGCTGCTTGTCTTCACTCAAATCTCATCTTGAATTGTAATCTGAATTGTAATCCCCAGGTGTTGATGGAGGAACTTGATGGGAGGTGACTGGATTATGTGGATGGTTTTCCCTACGTTGTTCTCATGTTACTGAGTGAACTCTCATAAGATCTGATGGTTTTATCAACGGCAGTTTCGCAGTTTCCCCCTGCTCTCTCTCTCTCCTGCCACCTTGTGAGGAAGGTACTTGCCTCTCCTTCATCTTCTGCCATCATTGTAAGTTTTCTGAGGCCTCCCCAGCCATGCAGAATTGTGAATCAATTAAACCTCTTTCCTGTATAAATTACCCAGTCTTGGACATTTCTTTAGAGCAGTGTGGAAATGGTCTAATACAATAAGTATGCCATTTTATAATTAAGATGTCCACTATTTAGGGCCGGGCGCAGTGGCTCACACCTGTAATCCCAGCACTTTGGGAGGCCGAGATGGGTGGATCACCTGAGGTCAGGAGTTCGAGACCAGCCTGATCAACATGGTAAAACCCAGTCTCTGCTAAAAAAAAAAAAAAAAAAAATTAGCTGGGTGCACTGGTGTGTGCCTGTAGTCCCAGCTACTTGGGAGGCTGAGGCAGAATTGCTTGAACCTGGGAGGTGGACGTTGCAGTGAGATCACGCCACTGCACTCCAGCCTGGGTGACAGAGCGAGACTCCATCTCAAAAAAAAACAAAGATGCCTTCTATTCATTAACCATTAATTTCAAGTCCTGAAAAGTCACCAAACATATTTTTTAATATTTAGAATGTGGCAAAAGAGAATATAATTTTGACATAAAAATATATCTGAAATTTGTGGAAGAGAATACTCTGATCTCTTCGCAGATTATGTCCCTAAATTACTCTATAGCTGACAATCTCTAAATTCTAAGATGTAAGTTATATATGATTAATGAATTAAATGAAATGTCTTAAATAATCAATGTTTAGACAATCCAGACCTCTGGCTCTAAATGAGAGAATTTCAGATGGTTTAGTAGACCATTTTAGTGATTGCTGTTTATTTTACTGGAGCTTTTACTTCGAACCTGATTTTCTTTTACATTTATACTTCATTTGCTGAAGACGCATGAGAGCTGTCAACATGAGAGCACTGCTCGCGGCTTGCCCATATCCCTGGTAACATTTTAGACAGGTGCCCATAAGAGGAGGTGATGCTGTCTGCTTTGACTTCACTATCGCCCGCTTCTGTTGGCTGTTCACATGTGGCCTATCACTCATATGCTCTCAAATAATCTCAGCTTGCTTTCCACAGATGAGTCACCCAACTTTGAGTCCAATAGTTCAAATTTCTCTGTGGCTACTGCCTGCACAAGAAGCAATAATGGACAGAGTCACTGGTTAGTCAGCAAGAGATGCGTTATCTCATTATAATCTTGTGAACAACCCACCGAGGTGTGATTGTACTCAATTTTCAGATGAGAATACTGAAACTCAGAGAGCTTACACTTCATACTCAAGGCCAATGGACAACAACGACTACCACAGTGGATTGTTCAAAGAATTATAATATGTTAACAAATCTATAAGTGTAAACTGCAGTACTTTGTATATTTACTTCCATTTTCTGAAGAAACTAGAAAGGCTGCCAACAGTCTATTGCTATCTTACCATACTTCACTGCAAATCTAAATACCTTCAACACTGTTTCTTTCCAATTTAGTTATTAACCTAAAAATATGTTGGCTTACTTGCACATAAAAGATAGCAGTGATAAATATGGAAAACAAGTACAGTTGTAAATACAGTAATTTACCTTGGGAGAAAAAATGGTGGCCATCTTTTTGAGGTCTGCATTCCTAAAAGGATTTTGCATGTTGATAACATCAATTTTAAAGAAATGCATAAAAACATTACCAAGTCAAAAAAAGACAGATTTATGTCAATTTATGTCTATTTCAATCAATTTTAACTAGGTAGAAGATAAGGTTCCTTTAGTCAATATGATGGGAGAGAAAACAACTGAACCCATGTTTAAAATGACCTTTGCTAACACTTCTGGATTGTCACAAAACTCCTCTATTTGAATTCTCAATTAACAGTTAGTTCACTCTTACTTTCTCATTGTAGCACTTTTAATATTTTCAGTTACAGTATGAAGAAAAAATTAACAGAATGTATTTTTAATTAAAAATATTAAATTTAGGGCAGAAGCCAGTTTTGAGAATCACAGATTATATCTTGCTGTGTACTTATTCTGGGCTCTTATTCACCCCACAGGGGTTGCATATGGAGGGCCTATGAAAAGGCTTCAAAGAGTTCATGAACCCCTGAAATTTTATAAAAATATATTTGCATATTTCTCAGTATGGCTTCATAGCTTTCGTTAGATTCCAGCACGGCTGGAAAATAACCAGACACTTGTTTTCCCCAGCACCTGTGCTAATTTAAAACTTCAATTAACATTTTTAAGATGCTAAATACAAAATTCAATATCCAAATGTTGGTACCATATCTGGATATAGCAGAGAGAATGACAGGAAGAAATGTTTTTATAACAAAGAAATTCAGAATTCAAAGAAAGCTTAAGAATAATCTACCACTGTATATAATCTCAACTTGATTTCCCATAAGTCATCCGTAGTAGATATTTACTTTATAGAAATCAGTGTACATACTTTGTTTTAAACACTGTAAATATTTTGTTTTAAATGAAATATGTAGTTGCTTATTTAAAAGTTAATATAAATAATAAGCACCATTTGGAGTAACAGCTTCACAAAGAGCAGCCCCAGGAAATGACTCCTCAAAAAGAGTAAGTGACTCTTTCGTACCTGCTCAGTTTATTCAAAGGTTGATCATTTCACCAGACAGCAAATTACTGACTGATTTTACCATGCTCTCCTATCACAAGAAATTAGGTACCACATAATATAACCCACCACTTTCAAAATAAAGAAAATAAGTAATATCACATTTGCGTGACTTAGTCATTCAAGTAAAGGCAGAATTTTTATCCTGAAATCTTGAATTTGAAATCATTTGGTGTTTTTATCACACTGACAGACTTTATCAATTACCTTGAATTTTTATACAGTAACTTCTATCTATAAAAAACTCTTCAACCTCTTCCTGGTATACTTAAAATAAAATCATGATAGAAATACATTTTGTTTTCTTTTGTTTTGTTTTTGAGATGAAGTCTCACTCTTGTCGCCCAGGCTGGAGTGCAATGGCGGGATCTCGGCTCAATGCAACCTCGGCCTCCCAGGTTCAAGCGATTCTTCCGCCTCAGCCTCCCATGTAAGTGGGACGACAGACGCCTGCCACCATCCCTGGCTAAATTTTGTACTTTTAGTAGAAATGGTGTTTCACCATGTTGGCCAGGCTGGTCTGGAACTCCTGACCTCAGGTGATCCCCCTGTGCCAGCCTCCTAAAGTGCTGGGATTAACAGGCTTGAGGCACCGCGCCTGGCCAGAAATAAGTTTTTTAAAACTCTAAACTTAACCAAATAGCTGTTGCATAATCAATCACTTTCCACTTCCTCACATTTCTTGCATGCCTCTCTACATGATTACTATTACAGTCCAGCTACATTAGTCTCTTCTAATTCCTCAAATATGACAAACTCTTTTCCTTGAATATCTTGTCTCTTTGTTTTTGAAACACAATTCTCCTCATGGTCTTAATGTTGCCTCTCTCTCATCATTCATAGTTTGAATGTCAGCTCTTCAGAGAAGCCAAGTCTAGACCATCCTAGCTCAGTGGATTCCCCCATCTCGCTTCCTCTATTGCCATCATGCTCTATTATTTTATTGCTTTTGTTTCTTTCACTATTTTATCACAATTTTAACACACATTCCAAAAGAATAAGTGGCATATATCCACCCTGCCAATTTAGCCATTAGCAGGGAAGAACCTACCATGAGTAGAGAAGTTGACTGAAGCTAAATAAATTCTGTTTAAGGCACAAATATTTATATATCACTCAGGATAAACTGTTTGTAATTTCATAAGTCTGAAGTAAATTTAAATAAATACATATACGTATATGTGTGTGTGTGTGTGTGTGTGTGTGTGTATATATATATATCTGAGTTGGGGAAGAAGAGAATACTGCTTAGATAACCTCAAATGAAAATCTTCAGTAGTTTCGGTATTTTATATTTTCAGTTGTAGCATCAGAAACTAGCATAATGTTAAACAAAAAATAATTAAACCATAATACCCTAAACTACCATAGTGACAAATAATGTTTAGTAATATATCCCTAATAATATCCAGGACTCCTGTGGCCTACTATTTGTGAGGTACATTTAAAAGCCAAGAGTAATGGATCATAACTCCATTAATTACCCACACTTTAAAAATGTTTAAATAGTATTTCACAAACATCTTTAAAGCCTTATTCTTTTCCTCTTCAATATTCTCTTTCGAGGCCGGCCGCGGTGGCTCACACCTGTAATCCCAGCACTTTGGGAGGCCGAGGTGGGCGGATCACAAGGTCAGGAGATCAAGACCATCCTGGCTAACATGGTGAAACCCCGTCTCTACTAAAAATACAAAAAATTAGCCAGTAGTCCTGGCGCCTGTAGTCCCAGCTACTCGGGAGGCTGAGGCAGGAGAATGGCGCGAATCCGGGAAGCGTAGCTTGCAGTGAGCCGAGATCGCGCCACTGCACTCCAGCCTGGGCGACAGAGCGAGACTCTGTCTCGAAAAAACAAAAACAAAAACAAAAACAAACAAACAAACAAAAACTCTTTTGACCATCTCACAAACAAAATTCTCAAAACTCCTTCACACAACTAGCCTCGGATCTTTTTGCTTTCTTTCTTTGCCTGAGCTTCTTGTTTTACACATAATTTTAATTTCTAGAGAATGTTTTCTCCCTTTTCTAGTGCTTTCACTCATTATCTTTCTGATCCCATTTTATTCCTGCATCTTTTCCAGGCCCCTAGTTTATCATCATCAAAGTCCAGCAACAGCCTGAAAAGTGATAACTCTTCTCAGAGAGATGAAGAGCAAGGAGGAAGACGAGTCTACTTGGGCACGTGCTAAAGGTAAAGGTGAGAAAGTTTTCACAGTGCTTTATTTTATCCCTGCTCCAGAACTCATACTAGAAAGTTATAATGACATCTGTGTATTTGCCAAATGAGTATTTCATTCCATATTACAACCAGCCAGAAGACTTATCTCCTCATTAAAAATCAATTAAAGACCTGTTTTACTATTTCATTTTTGCTACATGACTATTTACTTACACGCAACTGGAAAAGCAAAAAGACTAAGCAATTATGAAATCAAAACAGGCATAAATGATTCAAGAAAAATGTAGGTGAAAATTTTTTGGAGTTAAAAAACATAACCACAAAAAATTTTTTAAATTAAAGGAATAAACCTCAGATGCTATTTCAGAGAAAAATAATAAAGCTGTTGTAGCACTGATTCACCAAGAATGCATTATGGAGAAAAATAAAAAATACAGAAGAAGATTAGACACCAGTGAAAGATAGACCAAAGACTCATGTATATGGACCAATAAAATGAAAAAAAGTGTTGTTAAAACAATCTTGAAGAAACAATCTTGAAGCCCCTCTGAAAAATGCTGTTGGGTGATTTAGAAATGTTCTCTAATGATAATGATAGCATTAATAGATATATGAGTTTGAATAAAATTATTTTCACTAAATGTAACTGGGAAAAAAGCCATCCCTAAATTAATATGTTATGAAATATTGAATTAAACACATATGCATAACTAATATAGCATGTATTTGTTTTGATTATCTCATGTACATTATTAAACATCCAAATTTACAAGTTAGTAAAAATAGGAAACCTCTTGTTTGCAACTTCATTTTGAAGAAATGTGGGGCCACTTGATACTGAGTTTATTTTGCATTTGTGCATTTAGAGAACTTGTTTATTACTTGTTTTTGATAACAGATTTTCTGACATTTAAGATTAAACAGTGATTGATAGGAATGAAAGAAACTTTCTTGAGCAATTTGATGGTATCATCAATTCAGCAAAGATTCTCCTCCTCAGTGAAGCAAAGGTGAGAGTGATAGATTTTCTTAGTGAAATGATTTTCATGCTTATTTTCAAGGATTTCTTGCCTGTTAATTTTACGTAAAATAAATTCCTCAATTACGTATCTAAAGGTATCAGTTAGTATTCTCTCTTCTCTGTGTGCTCCAGAATAGCCAATTTAAACAGGGTTGTTTTTTTAAAAACATGAAGGTTAATATCCAGGAAGCGAATTCTCACCACATAGTATTTACTGGTCATTATTTTTAATAGCATTTTATTATTATTGAAAACAAAATTATGATAGGTAGTTCTGCGACAGTTAGCAAAAAAATTTGAATTTCAGGTAAATAATAAATGAAATACACTTCGAAACACATTGCGATGTTGTTATTGATTTTCTAAAATTCAAAGTTAACTGAGTATGTTTATTTTATTTGGCACCCTTAATTATAAATTGCTGCAAACATAATCAGCGTACTTCTTTACTCTTTTTAGAGTGCTCACCTGACCATTATACTCTTTTTCATACAGATATACATTTAGTCTCCTATACAGAAACAGACACACAGACAGACACACAGACACACACACACACACACACACACACACACACACACACACAAATATTAATAAAATACATCCGGTTGGTAGTTGAGGAAGACCTGAGGCCTAAATGATTTGGACATAAATAAGCAATTGACAACAATTTGTCATCTTTATTAGTGATACAACTGACACTGGGGAATGTGGTTTAGTTGGACAACAAGAGTGGCTTTTTCAGTAGTGAATTTCAGATTTACAAAAACCGTCATAAGCAGCCCTGATCAGTCAGAGATTCTTCTACATGGCGAACTTAACGCATATGTCTAAAATATGTGATTTTTGGTTAGTACTAAATACATAAGGCTAAAATTATTTTGTGGATGTTTCTGGTGGTACAAGCAACCTAGCTCGGGAAAAGGGAAAGTGATGGCGAACCTTAGTCTCAGATCCTTATTTCCAATCCATCAGTCAGATAGACCCACCATGTCTTTGGGAATATGTGAGATTCTCAGAGGCTTGGAGTAGTTAGGGTAAATTCTGCTTTGAGGTAATTTGCAAAGTACGAAGGAAAAATCCTCCTCAACAAATGCTAATCTTGTTTTTCACAGCACTCCTTTGTATACTAAGGTGTATTCATCTATAAATGAGTGGGACAGGCTATATTGATTCCTTTCTGGTTCAATTATTTCATGACTTTAACAAATTTTTTCTCTACCAATCACCCCTGCCATTATCAACATGAGGTGGTCATATGTTTTAATGAGATAAAAAACATTAAATATGTAAATTCTATTTCTATATGAACTGCATGCAGTTGAAAGATATTTCTATAAAAATACATAAAGTGCAGAACGATTACAATTAGATCCTCAAGGAGTATTCTCTACTATTAGCCATTATTCATCTTTGTGTCTTCTGCTAGAGCTAAGTAAAATTCTAACAAATTTTTGGTGAAAAAAAGAAAATAAGGTAGGAGGAAGTGTTTGGTTTTTGGCTGCCATATGACATTTGTAAGTGCATCAAACTTTGAAATGCATAAAATTGCGGAAAGAGTGGAAAGGCTAACATTAGCACCATGTCCCAACATAATATCTCTAAAAATTCATTTCTCATGTAAACCATGACAGTTTGAGTTATATCTCTGCGGATACCTTATTACTGTAAGTGGTAAGTGGGTGCAATAAGGAGAAGGCAAAATGAAATAAAAACAGGACCCCCACTGATTCATTATAACAGGTGTTTTTTTCACTTTTTCATGACTCCATTTTGGTGATTCAAAAATTATTGTGCACTTTTCAATTTATCTATAAAAGACCAAGTTCACAGTAAACAACTATATTGATTTCTAAGCCTAAAGATCAAAATTAAGGGTTTTTTTTCCTTTTTTGTCTTGCCCATGACTCTATAACCAATGTGTAATTTTTACTAATGTTAAATCTAAACTAGTAGCAAAAGTGACTTTGTTATTGTTTTGCTGTGATATTAATATGGACATGAAAAAAGATTACTCAACTCATGTGAGGTTGTAAGTATACCATATTCATTATGATATGATATGAATAACTGAAGAATAATATTGTCAAGAATTTATGAAATTTAGTATATGTAATACACATAGTCACATAAATGTCAAATTCAAATATCAGAGGTTAAATACATATCATTTAATCTCTTAGCTTTCAAAAGATACTAAGTCTTATGATGCAAATGATTACAAAATCAAAATAGTACCTGCCAAGAAAAGTTTATATTTAATTGAAAAAAGGCAACTCTTAGACTAACAGACTTTATCAAAGTTGGTCTTTTTTCCCCTGAAACCATAAGCAAAGAATCCTTTTCTTCTCTTTTCCCCATAGAGGGTTTTAAGTTTTGCCATATGCTCTTTTTACCTGCTCATAGCTTACCCTCTTGTCTCTCTCTCTCTCTTTTTCCATTTGTTTTTTTAAAAAAATCCTATAGCTTTGTTGCTTCTCACAAGGTGCCTTTGACTAAAAGCCTCTTTCCTAAAAAGTCAACCCATTGCCCTCTTTCAAAATAAATCCAATTTCCTTTATGGAGCTCTATCTGATCAAACTGAAGAAAAGAACCTTTTTTTTCTTCCTGTTCAGAAGACCCCACAAGAAGTTTGCTTTATTCCAGTTTCTGATACAGGCAGAACTTAATTCTATTGAGACAAAATGAAAAGAAAATTAAGGCATTATTAGTTTCTACAAAGGCTACATTGTTTCTCTGATTTATAGATTAAAAATTAGAAATATCACACTTCTATGAAAAAAATATTTTGATCTATTTATGCACACATTACTTTAAAAAAGATTATTACCATTTTATAGTGGTAGGTGAGGAGTGGAGAGCAGACAGCAGTCAGTTGCCTGTGTCATATTAAGTACAACCTTTATATTTTAAATTCTAAATTCAGTTACTCTCATTGCCACACAATATTTCTCTTGTCCCTTATATAGGGATTTTAGATGATAGATTTTGCTTTACATGCTGTAGTTGTGTTGTCAATTAATTAAAGACAAAGGACATCTTTGGAAGAAAGCAATATCTTTCATTGGCCAGACCGTAAGAGAAACTACACATCACAGAGGGAACTGATATAACAAAAGCAAAGTCAATAAAAACCTTAAGTAGTTAAAAAAACTAGCTTTGTTCTCTCCACCACAGATGATATGAAAATTATAATGAAGCCTTATTTCAGAAGATGTTACTTTTCGTGTCTTATTATTGCTATGCCTCTTTTTCTGTTATTCATTGAAAGATGCTAATTGTATAGGATAGTGTTTTACTTTTGTAGTGAGCTCATCTTCCAACCTCAAATACATATGCCAATACTAGAAGTTACACCCTGTTGTGTCTCTTTTTTTATAATACCAAGACCACCTAGCATATTGTCCTAGTGCAGGCATGCCTCAGAGATATTGCAGGTTCAGTTCCAGACCATTCCAATAAAGTCACACAATGGTTTGGTTTCTCAGTGCATACAAGAGCTATGTTTATGCTATAGTCTATTAAGTGTGCCATAGTTATTTTTTAATGTACATCCCTTAATTTATTTTTATGGCTAAAAAATGCTATCACCTGAGCCTTCAGTGAGTTGTAATCTTTTTGCTGGTGGAGGGTTTTGCCTCTATGTTGACAGCTGCTGACTGATCAGAGTGGTAGCAGCTGAAGGTTTTGTGGCTGTGGCAATTTCTTAAAATAACAATGAAGTTTGTGGCATGGATTTACTCTTTCTTTCATGATAGATGCCTCTGTAGCATGCCATGCTATTTGATAGCATTTTACCCTCAGTAGAACTTCTTTCAAAATGTTGAGTCAATCCGTGCAGACTCTGCTGCTGCTTCATTAACTAAGTATATGTAATATTGTAAAGCCTCTTCTGTCATTTCAACAATTTACACAGCATCTTCAGCAGGAGTAGATTCCACCTCAAAAGACCACTTTCTTTGCTCATCTCTAAGAAGCAACACCTAATCCATTACTGTTCTATCATGAGACTGCAGCAATCCATTCACATCTTCAGGATCCACTTCTAATTCTAGGTCTCCTGCTGTTTTCCCCACATGTTCAGTGACTTCTTCCACTGAAGTCTTGAACCTCTCAAAGTCATTCATGAGGGTTGGAATCAATGTTTTCTAAACTTTTGTTAATGTTGATATTTTGACCTTCTCCCATGAATAACGAATGTTCCTAATGGCATCTAGAACAGTGAATTCTTTCCAGAATTCAATTTACTTTACCCAGATTCCTCAGAGGACTCTATCTATGGCAGTGAAAGCCCTACAAAATGCATTTCTTAAATAATAAGACTTGAAAGACAAAATTACATGGATTTATGAGCTGCAGAATGGATATTTTGTTAGTAGGCATGAAAACAACATTAATCTTACACATCTCCATCAGAGCTCTTGAGAAATCAAGTGCATTGTCAATGAGCAGTAATATTTTGAAAGCATTTTTTTTTCTCTTTCTGAGAATAAGGTCTCAACAGTGGGCTTAAAATATTTAGTAAACCATACTATAAACCAACGTGCTGTCATCCAGGCTTTGTTCTTTTATTAATTAAACACAGGCAGAGTAGATTTAACATAACTCTTGAGGGCTTAGAATTTTTAGAAAGATAAATGAATACTGGTTTCAACTTGAAGTCACCAGCTGCATTAGCCTCTAAAAAGAGAGTCTGCCAGAGGGTGGAGCCAAGATGGCTGAATAGGAACAGCTCCGGTCTACAGCTCCCAGTGTGAGCGACGCAGAAGATGGGTGATTTCTGCATTTCCATCTGAGGTACTGGGTTCATCTCACTAGGGAGTGCCAGAAAGTGGGTGCAAGACAGTGGGTGCAGCCCACCGTGCGTGAGCTGAAGCAGGGTGAGGCACTGCCTCACTCGGGAAGCACAAGGGGCCAGGGAGTTCTATTTCCTAGTCAAAGAAAGGGGTGACAGGCGGCACCTGGAAAATCGGGTCACTCCCACCCTAATACTGCGCTTCTCCAACAGGCTTAAAAAACGGCACACCAGGAGATTATATATCCTGCACCTGGTTCAGAGGGTCCTACGCCCACGGAGTCTCACTGATTGCTAGCACAGCAGTCTGAGATCAAACTGCAAGGCAGCAGCAAGGCTGGGGGAGGGGTGCCTGCCATTGCCCAGGCTTGATTAGGTAAACAAAGCAGCCTGGAAGCTCGAACTGGGTGGGGCCCACCACAGCTCAAGGAGGCCTGCCTGCCTCTGTAGGCTCCACTTCTCAGGGCACGGCACAGACAGACAAAAAGACAGCAGTAACCTCTGCAGACTCAAATGTCCCTGTCTGACAGCTTTGAAGAGAGTAGTCGTTCTCCCAGCACGCAGCTGGAGATCTGAGAACTGGCAGACTGCCTCCTCAAGTGGGTCCCTGACCCCCGAGCAGCCTAACTGGGAGGCACCCCCCAGTAGGGGCAGACTGACACCTCTGAGACAAAACTTCCCGAGGAACGATCAGGCAGCAGCATTTGCGGGTCACCAAAATCCACTGTTCTACAGCCACCGCTGTTCTGCAGCCACAGCTGCTGACACCCAGGCAAAAAGGGTCTGGAGTGTACCTCTAGCAAACTCCAACAGACCTGCAGCTGAGGGTCCTGTCTGTTAGAAGGAAAACTAACAAACAGAAAGGACATCCACACCAAAACCCATCTGTACGTTGCCATCATCAAAGACCAAAAGTAGATAAAACCACAAAGATGGGGAAAAAACAGAGCAGAAAAACTGGAAACTCTAAAAAGCAGAGCACCTCTCCTCCTCCAAAGGAACACAGTTCCTCACCAGCAACGGAACAAAGCTGGAGGGAGAATGACTTTGACGAGTTGAGAGAAGAAGGCTTCAGACGATCAAACAACTCTGAGCTACAGGAGGAAATTCAAACCAATGGCAAAGAAGTTAGAAACCTTGAAAAAAAACTAGACGAATGGATAACTAGAATAACCAATGCAGAGTAGTCCGTAAAGGACCTGATGGAGCTGAAAGCCACGGCTCGAGAACTATGTGAAGAACACAAAAGACTCAGGAGCCGATGAGATCAACTGGAAGAAAGGGTATCAGTTATGGAAGACGAAATGAATGAAATGAAGCGAGAATGGAAGTTTAGAGAAAAAAGAATAAAAAGAAGTGAACAAAGCCTCCAAGAAATATGAGACTATGTGAAAAGACCAAATCTATGTCTGATTGCTGTACCTGAAAGTGACGGGGAGAATGGAACCAAGTTGGAAAACACTCTGCCGGATATTATCCAGGAGAACTTCCCTAATCTAGCAAGCCAGGCCAACACTGAGATTCAGGAAATACAGAGAACACCACAAAGATACTCCTCGAGAAGAGCAACTCCAAGACACATAATTGTCAGATTCACCAAAGTTGAAATGAAGGAAAAAATGTTAAGGGCAGCCAGAGAGAAAGGTCGGGTTACCCACAAAGGGAAGTCCATCAGACTAACAGCGGATCTCCTGGCAGAAACTCTACAAGCCAGAAGAGAGTGGGGGCCAACATTCAACATTCTTAAATAAAAGAATTTTCAACCCAGAATTTCATATCCAGCCAAACTAAGCTTCATAAGTGAAGGAGAAATAAAATACTTTACAGTCAAGCA